>NC_000022.11:28709564-28861079 GCF_000001405.40 Homo sapiens
TACACATAAGTTAAAGAACCCAGGTTAATATTAGCTTTATTTATTCTTTTAATTTTTCTTGTTTTTTTTTCTGAGACAGTCTCACTCTGTCGCCCAGGCTGGAGTGCAGTGGCGCGATCTTGGCTCACTGCAATCTCTGCCTCCCAGGTTCAAGCACTTCTCCTGCCTCAGCCTCCCAAGTAGTTGGGATTACAGGCATGTGCCACCATGCCCAGCTAAATTTTTGTATTTTTAGTAGACAGGGTTTCACCATGTTGGCCAGGCTGGTCTCAAACTCCTGACCTCAGGTGATTCACCCACCTCGGCCTCCCAAAGTGCTAGGGTTACAGGCATCAGCCACCACACCTGGCCAATATTATCTTTATTATACTGAAAGGCTTTATACTCTTCTCATATTTTGAGATAGATAAATCTAAGTATGAGTCATATAATAATACTTACATGATTTAGCTTTTTCAAAATTTCTATTTCTGTTTCAACATTGAGAGCTGGGTCCTTTGATAAACAGAATAACAGAGTTTATTAGTAATAATAATTGCCAATATTTAAAAAAACATTTACAGTTAAACTCAGTTGACTCAAGGCTGCCTGAGTTCCAAACCCAGCTCTACTTATACAAAGAAATCAAAGCCCAGGTCAATGACTTAAATACCTCACCTAAAATAACTTTGTAAAATGCTTGGCAAATAGTAAGCACTCAATAAATGGCCAGGCCCTGTGCCAAGCTCTTTATTTACAGAGATCATGTCTCATAAGCCTCAGAATCCCCATCTTACAGATGGGGCAACCAAGGCTCAGAAAACAGAAGCCACTTGCCCTAGTCTCCACAGTCAGAAACAAGTGTGTTTCCACTGTGTTCATTTTAATTAGTAAACCCTACTTATTAGCTATGGAACTATTTTTATTCATTAAAATGATAAACAAAAAACATGAACAAGAAGGTGTTCAATTAAACTATATAAAGAAAATGTGAAGTCAAATTTCTGCTAATAGAGCAGATACAGGTTCCAACTTCAACAGCAGCCTCGCATATTTACTGAGACTCTGACAAGAGGAGGCTTCAGGGTACTAAAGTTGTTCTGTTACAATTCCAAAAGGATGAATCAAGTAACTCAGCTTCCTGGGCTACACCCTCCACAAGCAAAGAGGAGATAGAATTACATATTTATGTAAAATGAACTTCAGCTAAGAAACCCAGATGTTTAATTTTAAGAGCCTGCCTCTTCCTGTAAGCCGCTAAACTCATTACCAAGTCAGGGTATACTCTGATAACAGGATGGTCACAAAGGTCCAATCTGATTCAAATAATGAAATCAAAACGTAAAATTTTACTCCCAGTTTTTAACAATCTAGTTGGTATTTTCTTCTCCCCAAAATGGGAAACAAATCTTAGAATCATAGGGGAAAAGATCTATAACAAAGTGAACACAAAAAGGAAATTCCTCTTGCCATGTGAGAATGGCATTGTCTAGGGGGAAAAAAAATTGATCTTTAAAGAATGTGAAAGTATAATAGCCAGAAACAGCTGGCCACTAGGGAAAATGTGATTAGAGGCTGTGTTTTACATTACTTTGTTGAGTCACATGTGGAAAGACCAATGCATTTGGCCATCTCTCCCATACAGTAAATGTTGATTACAAAAGAGTAGTAAAATAAATGGCTGCTATAAAGAAAGGCTATTTCAATGATTTAATTAAAATTTTAAAAATCTATGGCTAATCCATAAACCAGGGATACTCACTGCCATATTACCCAGAACAGCAAAGAATAAGAAATTACCTAAATGATCAGCCAGAGAAATGGTTAAGTAAATTACAATAAAGTTGATGACATGAAAACTCAGTCATCAAAAAGGATGTATTAGGCAAAAGTCTATGCTATAATGCATTTGTGGAAAAGCAAAATACAAAACTGTATATACAAGATGATTTCAACCATCTAAAAACACGATTTCATCTGAACAAAATCTAGAAGGAAAAGGAAAACTGAAAACAGCTGTGGGGTTACAGTGGGGATTATGGCTGAATTTTTTTCTCTAATTTCCTGTCATTTATTGTAAAAACAATCTTGTAACGACTTTGAACTTGGAAGAAGAAAAAAAAAAACTTCCCACTATGCTCATTATTATGTACAATTAAATACTTTTGGAACCAAATTATCTATAAGTAAAAGTTTCTAGATTAATCAAAGATGCCCCAAAATTTTCCATGTTCTTTGATACTCACAAATTCATCCATCTAAGCAGGGGGTTATTCCTGAGTTTAAAAATCATCAATCTAAGATTATTTTGGGAAGTTATGAAGACGTGTTAATAAAAGGTGATCAGCCTTTTATTGGTACTTACTGCCTCTCTTGCTGAACCAATAGCAAACTTCCTTTTGCTGATGATCTTTATGGCTACTTTCTTACATGTTTTCCTCTCGAAAGCCAGCTTTACCTCTCCACAGGCACCACTAGAGGGAAAAACAAAGATAGTGATTGTCTGAATGTTTTTAATTATGAGACCTACCACTCCTGGGTCCACTTCAAGTATTAGAATTTACAGACATTCCATATAACAGCCTTTCCATTGTCCCTGTTTGCAGAGGACACAGTGAAACTTCACCAGTGTAAAATGTCAAGGGCTTAACAGCCAAAAACACTAAGTCAGCTCCAAATTCCATTTCTGAGCCCAGCAATACAAACATGGGTCTTACTGTAGCCCTGGATTGTGAAATTCCCAGAAAGATACTAAGAGAAAAATGAGAGAGAAACTACGTATCCGAGAGGTCAGAAAAACATTAACTAGAAACAGTCCTCCCTGGTCAAAAATAAGTGCCCAAAACAAACAAATAACGGTAAACAGAATCTGCAAATGAATAACTTTAATGGATAAATTTCTTTCCTTCTTATTCTCCATCTTCAAAGGAAGTGCATAAGCAGTTGATGACATAAGTTGCACCCTAAATCAAATCAGATTACCTAAGAAACCAAACGTATTACACAATCAGCCTACTTTCAGCAACCTCTCACAGAGATTTGCAGTTAAATGGGATACTACTCATGGAGGAGGAATGCTCTCCAAGCCATTACCCAGAACACAGTTAATCCTGAGTAGGATCTGTCCTCCAAAGCTTGGGTCAGCCCAAGATAATGGCTACTAGGGCATCAATTACCCATTATGAAGTAGACTATTATAACTATTGTGGGTTTTGAAGGGGTGAGTTGAGGGGCTTACCAAGACATCTTTTTTATTGTGTTAAATATACATAACACAAAATTTACCACTGTAATCATTTTAAAGTGTACAATTCAGTAGCATTAAGTACATTTGCCAATGTTCTACAACCATCAGCATCTAATTCCAGAACTTTCTCATTAGCTCAAATGGAAACCCTGTACCTGTTAAGCAATTAAGCAGTCACTCCTCACTCTACCCTGTCCCCAGCACTCAGCCCCCAGCCCCTGGCAACCACTAATCTACTTTCTCTAAATATTGATTTGCCTATTCTGAATATTTCATATTGATGTAATCATACAATATGTAGCCTTTCGTGTCTGGATTCTTTCACTTAGCGTAATGCCATAACATTTGTGGTACTTCATTCCTTTTTACAGCTGAATAATATTCCATTATATGGAAGTATCACAGTTTATCTATTCACCTTCCGACGGACATTTATTTGGTTTGTTTCCACCTTTTGTAAATGGTTTCTTCAGTATGACAACAAAAGCATAAGCAACAAAAGAAAAACAATAGATAAATTATACTTCTTCATTGTGACTAAAGCTGCTATGAACATTTATGTACAAGTTTTCTTTTTTTTTTTTTTTGAGATGGAGTCTCGCTCAGTCGCCCAGGCTGGAGTGCAGTGGCGTGATCTCGGCTCACCGCAAGCTCCGCCTCCCGGGTTCACGCCATTCTGCCTCAGCCTCCCGAGTAGCTGGGACTACAGGTACCCGCCACCACGCCCGGCTAATCTTTTTGTATTTTTAGTAGAGGGGGGTTTCACTGTGTTAGCCAGGATGGTCTTGATCTCCTGACCTCGTGATCCTCCCATCTCGGCCTCCCAAAGTGCTGGGATTACAGGCGTGAGCCACCGCACTCGGCCACATGTACAAGTTTTTGTCTGAACACTTGTTTGCTTTTTTTTTGAGATATAGGCTCGATCTGTCACCCAGGCTGGAGTGCAGTGGCACAATCTCGGCTCACTACAACCTCTGCCTCCTGGCTTCAAGCAATTCTCGTGCCTCAGCCTCCTGAATAGCTGGGATTACAGGTGTGTGCCACCTCGCCCAACTAATTTTTGTATTTTTAGTAGAGACGGGGTTTCACCATGTTGGGCAGGCTGGTCTCGAACTCCTGACCTCAGGTTATCTACCCACCTCAGCCTCCCAAAGTGCTGGGATTAGAGGCGTGAGCCACCGTGCCCAGCCTGGACACTTGTTTTTTAAATTGGGGAATTTATATACCTAGAAGGAGAATTTCTGAGTCACGTGATAATTCTATGTTTACCTTTTTCTGTTGTTGTTTGTTGTTGTTGTTTTTTATGCCCCATAGAGCTCAGATGTTTACCTTTTTAAGAAATCACCAAACTATTTTCCACAGTGGCTACATCATTTTACATTCCCGTTAGCAGTGCATGGGGGTTCCAATTTCTCCACATCCTCACCAACAGTTACTAGTTTCTGTTTCCTTATTATGGTCAGCCTAGTAGGTAGGTGTGAAGTGGTATCTCATTGTGGTTTTGATTTGTATTGCCCTAATGACTAATGATATTCAGCATCTTTTGATGTGCTTTTTGGCCATTGTATGTGTTCTTGAGGGAAATGTCTATTCAAGCCCTTTGCCCATTTGTTTTGTTTTGTTTTTAGAGACAGGATCTCACTCTGTCGCCCAGGCTGCAGTGCAGTGCCTTTGCCCATTTTTAAATGGCAGGTTGTTTGTTTTTTTATTGTACAGTTCTAAGATGTCTTTATCTATTCTAGACATAAGCCCTTATCAGATATAGGGCTTGCAAATATTTAATCATTCTGTTGGTTTTGTTTTCACTTATTGATAGGTATCTTTTGAGGCACAAAAGTTTTTAATTTTGATTAAGTCTAATTTATCTATTTTTTCTTTTGTTGCTGTGCTTTTGGTGTCTTATGTAAGAAACCACTGCCAAATACAAGGTCATGAAGAGCTGTCCCTATGCTTTCCTCCCAGAGTTGTATAGTTTTACCTCTTATATTTCATTCTTGGTTCCACTTTGAATTAATTCTTATGTATGGTATGAGGTAAGGGTCCATGTAACTATTCTTTTTAAAATCAGCTCAAAGCACTTTCCAATTTCCCTTCTCCTGGAAACAGTCACCCTTTGCCTGGGAATTCCTCCCCAAGTCCGTGCAGCTCTAGCTGGGTGTCTACTATGGCACAACCCCTACTCCTAGAAACACAGGATAGCTACATAACCAAAACTGAGCTGGAGCAGTGAGCCATGATCATGCCACCGCACTCCAGCCTGAGACACAGAGCAACACCCTGTCATTCATTCATACCTACAGCCAGAGTTGCCCTTGAAATCAAATGCTGACATTGGGAGACAGACTTCTCTCTGTTGTAGTTTCTAGACAAAGAAAATATCATTCTGCAGCCCCTGGTAGCCATTTTTCCTACCACATAGAGAGAACAATTCTATAGGAAGCCAACAAACAGCTGAATCAAGAGATGGAGCTAGAGCCCTGGTGACACTGCAGGAGCTCTTAGACGCAGTCAACCAGACCATCAGAACTCAAAGACCATGAAGTAAAGCCTAATGACCTCCTAGATCCAGCCATGCCTGAAGTAAGGATTTGCCTGCTTATTTTTATTTTTATTTATTTATTTATTTATTTTAATATTTTATTTTTTTGAGACAGGGTCTTGCTCTGTCACCCAGGCTGGAGTGCAGTGATGCCATCTTGGCTCACTGCAACCTCCGCCTCCTGGGTTCAATCGATTCTCTTGCCTCAACCTCCCAAGTAGCTGGGACTACAGACATATGCCACCACACCCAGTTAATGTTTATATTTTTAGTAGAGACAGGGTTTTACTGTGTCAGCCCGGCTGGTCTCAAACTCCTGACCTCAAGTGATCCACCAGCCTCGGCCTCCCAAAGTACCCGGATTACAGGCGTTAGCCACTATGCCCGGCCTGGCTATTTCCCAGTTACAAAAGCCAGTAAATTTTTTCTCTTACCTGACTCATTTGAGTTGAGTTTCTATCATTTGCTACAAGTTAGAGAATTCATATTAAATCTTCCCTTAGGAAAACATTGAATTCCATACATTTCTTCTTCTTTTTTTTTTTTTTCCTCCCGAGACATTGTCTCACTCTATCGCCCAGGCTGGAATGCAGTGGCATGATGATGGCTCACTGCAGCCTCCACCTCCTGGGCTCAGGTAATCCTCCCACCTCCACCTTCCAAGTAGCTGGGACTACAGGTGCAGACCGCAACGCTCAGCTAACTTTTTCTATTTTTTCTAGAGACAGGATTTCTCTATTGCCCAGCTGCCCAGGCTGGTCTTGAACTCCTGGACTCAAGTGATACACCTGCCTTAGCTTCCCAAAGTGCTGGGGTTACAGGCATGAGCCACCATACCCAGCCTCATACATTTCTTTTTTCTTTTTTCTCTTTTTTTTTTTTTTTGAGACAGAGTCTCACTCTGTTGCCAAGGGTGGAGTGCAGTGGCGTGATCTCAGCTCACTACAACCTCCGCCTCCTGGGTTCAAGCTATTCTCCTGCCTCAGCCTCCCAAGTAGCTGGGATTACAGGCATGCGTCACCACACCTGGCTAATTTTTATATTTTTAGTAGAGACAGGGTTTCACCATGTTGGCCAGGCTGGTCTCAAACCCCCAACCTCAGGTGATCCACCCGCCTCAGCCTCCCAAAGTGCTAGGATTACAGGTGTGAGCCACCGTGCCCAGCCCATACATTTCTTAAGAAAGGGTTTGACGGTTAGATTCCAAGCAACCAGTGCAAATATGGAAACACATCAGTTACTGAATTCAGTATCAGTAAACTAAAATTTCTCCCATATAATACAGAGGATACTGTGCTTAACTATGTTGCAGGAATATGGATGATTATTTCCTTTTATGTACTTTCCTTCCATGTTTCCAAAAATATCAGTAGAAAGACCTTTGTGAGACAGGAAGGGGGATGAAGAACATTTTGTAATGTGGTAACAGTATCCTGATACTTTCCTAAAGAAATGGTTCTCAAAGTATGATTGGATCACCCCAAAAGGACCCCAAGACCTTGCAGGGCATCCACAAAGCCACAACTATGCTCAGAATAATACTAAGACATTATTTGTGTTTTCCATTCTCATTAGCTCATAAGTATGGAGATTTCCAGACACTACGTGGCGTGTGACAACATAACAGACTGAATGACGAAACAAATTACAGAATCTAGCCATCTTCTAACTAAGCCAGATGTTAAAAAAATTTTGCAAAAATGTTGAACAGTGCCTCTCTTCTCACTAATCTTTTTAATAATTATTTTTTATAAAAAATGTTACTCAGGCCAGGCGCGGTGGCTCATGCCTATAATCCCAGCACTTTGGGGGACCGAGGCAGGCGGATCATGAGGTCAGGAGATCGAGACCATCCTGGCTAACACAGTAAAACCCCATCTCTATTAAAAATACAAAAAATTAGCTGGGTGTGGTGGCACAGGCCTGTAGTCCCAGCTACTTGGGTGACTGAGTCAGAAGAATTGCTTGAACCCGGGAGGCAGAGGTTGAAGTGAGCTGAGATCGTGCCACTGCACTCCAGCCTGGGTGACAGAGCGAGACTCCATCTCAAGAAGAAAAAAATAAATGTAACTCATCTTAACATGTAGTAAATTTACCTAATGAATTAATATAAAAATGTCTTGGCAAAATGCAGTGGTTCACACCTGTAATCCCAACATTTTGAGAGGCTGAGGCAGGAGGATAACTTGAGCCCAGGAGTTCGAGACAAGCCTAGGCAATACAGCAAGACTCATCTCTACAGTAAAAAAAAAAATAAAAATTAGGGCCGGGAGTGGTGGCTCACGCCTATAATCCAGCACTCTGGGAGGCCGAGGCAGGCAGATCACCTGAGGTCAGGAGTTCAAGACCAGCCAGGCCAACATGGTGAAACCTCATCTCTACTAAAAATACAAAAAAATTAGCTGGGTGTGTGGTGGCGGGCACCTGTAATCCCAGCTACCTGGGAGGCTGAGGCAGGAGAATCACTTGAACCCAGGAGGCAGAGGTTGCATTGAGCTGAGACCACACCATTGCACACCATTGCCTGGGCAACAAGAGACCACACCATTGCCTGGGCAACAAGAACAAAACTCCATCTCAAAAAAATAAAATAAAGTAAAAATTAGCCGGCTGTGATGGTGCAAGCCTGTAGTCCCAGCTACTCAGGAGGCTGAGGCAGAAGAATCGCTTGAACCCGGGAGGCGGAGGTTGCAGTGGGCCAAGATCACGCCACTGCACCTCAGTCTGAGTGACAGAGTGAAACTCCGTCTCAAAGAAAAAAAAGTTATCACCAATAAAATTCGTGAGGCGAAAGAGTTAATTTCACCTCAAACACATCAAAAATGCACCTATCATGATGTATGAAAAATGCTCAGTATCTCTAGCCATCAAGGAAATGCAAATTAAAACCACAATGACATCACCTGAAGCCTGTTAGAATGGCTATTATCAAAAAGATGAATAATAACAAATGTTGGAGAGGATGTGAAGAAAAGAGAACCCTGGTACACTGTTGGTGGGAAAGTAAATTAGTACAGCCATTTTGGAAAATAGTATAAAGGTTCCCCAAAAAGCTAAAATTGTAATTACCATATGATCCAGCAATCCCACTTCTGGATATATATCCAAAAAAAAATTTAAATCAGTATGTTGAAGAGATATCTGCACTCCCATGTTCATTTCAGCATTATTCACAATAGCCAAGATAGGGAAGCAACCAAAGTGTCCATAAATGAATGAACGGACAAAGTAAATGTGGTGTATATATACACAATGAAATACTATACACATGGCCAGGCACAGTGGCTCATGCCTGTAATCCTAGCACTTTGGGAGGCCGAGATGGGTGGATTGCTTGAGCTTAGGAGTTCAAGACCAGCCTGGGCAACATGGTAATACCCCATCTCTACACAAAATACAAAAATTAGCCAGGCACGGTGGTTCAAGCCCATAGTCCCAGCTACTTGGGAGGCTAAGGTGGGAGGATCACTTGAGCCCTGGAAGTGGAGGTTGCAGTGAGTCAAGATCGTACCACTGCACTCCAGCCTGTGCAACAGAGCAAGACTCTGACACTAACACACACACACACACACACACACACACACACACACACAGGAAATAAAAAAAGAAATATTTGGCTGGGCATGGTGGCTCACGCTACTAATCTCAGCACTTTGGGAGGCTAAGGCAGGAGGATGGGTTGAGCCCAGGAGTTCAAGACCAGCCCTGGCAACACAGCGCAACCCCAACTCTAAAAAACAAAAACACACATTAGTTGTGCATGGTGCTGCATGCCTGATCTCCCTTGACCTGGGAGATCAAGGCCACAGTGAGCTCTGATCGTGCCACTACCCTCCAGCCTGGGTAACAGAGCAACACCCTGTCTCACAAAGAAATAAAATAAAAATAAATTAAAATGACTGTGTGAAATAACACACAAAAATAAAAATAAAAAATAATACACAAATAGATACCATACAAATGTTATCAATACATAATGAGTGTTATAAAATCAGAAATGAGAAACCACCAATCACAAATGTATAGTGAAAAAATTAAGTGCATTTATATAAGAAAATAATTTACCTTCCAAGAGTTTTTGACATGATGTATTCATCTCTTAATGCCTTAGGATAAACTGACTGATCATCTACAGTCAGATCAAAAAAGACAAAAACTAAGGAAGAAAAGAGTAGAAATGGGTTTCATTAATTTATTCACAAGAGGCGATCACTGATTCTAAAATTTATTCATCATATGGAATATAAGAACTGTTTTTAACTACATTTAACATGTAACCTTAAGGAAATTAGTATGTATGTAATATAATAGGTATTAGTGGGCTAATACATATTGTAAAGCCCTTGAGAAATAAATGATAGTCAAATTTCATGCTTCAATGGAACTATAAGCATCACTCTGAAACTAGTGCAAAAAATCCGTAACACAACATTATTTATATTCCTTGACCTCAGAATATCAATCAATTACACTAATATAAAATGCCCATGCAGATTTACAACAGGCCCAGAATCAAAAAGCAATCCATCAGTCTGAGCCTAGAAAAAATGGTCTAGGCAAGTAAATATCCCAATGAAAATTAGGCCATCAGTATCACCATACGGGTATTATCATCTCTCAGCCATTTATACCTTTATATATCCGGTATTAAGTATTTTATAGTGCAAACCATATTCAACATATTTGTAAAGCTAGGTAAATAACATTTTCTAAACAAATTCCCTTTTTTCTCCATTATTTGGGCTGTATCTTAAAAAAAGTAATTTTTTTTTTTTTTTTTTGAGAGAGTTTCACTCTGTTGCCCAGGCTGGAGTGCAGTGGCATGACCTCAGCTCACTGCAACCTCCACCTCCCAGGTTCAAGCAATTTTTGTGCCTCAGCCTCCTGAGTAGCTGGGATTACAGGCGAACAGCACCATGCCCGGCTAAGTTTTGTATTTTTAGTAGAGACGGGATTTTACCATGTTGGCCAGGCTGATCTCGAACTCCTGACCTCAGGTGATCCACCCACCTTGGCATCCCAAAGTGCTGGGATTACAGGAGTTAGCCAATGTGCCCAGCCAAAAAAAAAAAAAGTAAAACAACTACTTTTTAAATTCTATAACCCAGGACAGTGCTGATGATTTAATAATTTAACCACCCACGTGGGCCAAGCCTGTGATAAATTATCAAATATTTCAATTCTACAAAGTCATCAATGATAAATTTGCAATTGCCTATGCCATCTTGAAAGGTGAAATTTGTTAAGACCCTTGAGTTTCTCAGATCTCAGGTGACAGGTTTTGACCTCCCTAGAATAACCTAAGGATCCAGTCTCTGGCACAAATCTGAGCCACCTGAGTATATTTCATTCAGGCTGGTACACAAGAGGCAGGCACTTGTCTGGTGACAGACACCTGCTGGCCACCCAGGCACAAGTGTCCCTCTATGCTTGTAGCTATTCATAACGCTGTATGTTCCAGTGGCATCTGAGAATGTAGAAATTTGATTGGCTCTCATGATGTATTTCTCCTGTCAAGGTTTACTTCAAGGGCTCAAACGCCATTGTCCACACAAGTCAGGAAGGTAATGTAACAGGGTCAGGCTGTGTTGAGTTTAAGACACCATGGAGAAGTGGGGAGAGAAAACACACCTCCCATCTAAAGGAGGCAGCCTCTACTCAGTGCCTACAGATCCTCCGGTTGTGGGACTATAGACTCACTGTGGCCACATATTACAACTTCTCTAAGACATCTGGATGTTCACATTACCACTGTAAGTATCAGTAAATGCCTAATAAAATATCTATAGGCCAAATGCAGCCTGCAGAGGACCAGTCTGACCTACTTTAATAAGGGTCACCTTTAGCCTATATGACATCTTTGTTCAAATTAGAGAAAACAGAGATTTATTGTACAACATGGTGATTGTAGTTAACAACAATGTACTGTTTTTTGTTTGTTGTTTGTTTGGGTTTTTTTTTTTTTTTTTTTTTTGAGACGAAGTCTCGCTCTTGTACCCCAGGCTAGAGTGCAATGGTGCAATCTTGGCTCACTGCAACCTCCACCTCCTGGATTCAAGCAATTCTCCTGCCTCAGACCCCTGAGTAGCTGGGATTACAGGCGCCTGCCATCATGCCCGGCTAATTTTTGTATTTTTAATAGAGACAGAGTTTCACCACGTTGACCAGGCTGGTCTCGAACTCCTGACCTCAGGTGATCTGCCAGCCTCGGCCTCCCAAAGTGCTGGGATTAAAGACGTGAGCCACCGCGCCCCGCCGTATTTTTGAAAATCAGCTGAGAGAGTAGATTTTAAGTATTTTCTCTATTAAAAAAAAAAAGATAAATATGTGAGGTAATGCATGTTAGCTCAAATTAGTCATTCTACAATGTATACATATTTGAAAACATGTTGTACATGATAAATACATATAATTTTTTTGAGACACGTTCTTACTCTCTTGCCCAGGGAAGAGTACAGTGGTGCAATCATGGCTCACTGTAGCCTCGACCTCCCAGGCTCAAGCAATCCTCCCACCTCAGACTCCCAAGTAGCTGGGACTACAGGAACACAGCAGCATGCCCAGCTAATTTTTTTATGTTTGGCAGAGATGGGGTCTCACTATGTTGCCCAAGCTGGTCTCGAATTCCTGGACTCAAGCAATCTTCCTGTCTTGGCCTCCCAAAGTGCTGAGATTACAGGCATGAGCTACCACGCCAGCCTATAATTTTTATTTATCTATTAAATAAATTTTTTAATGTTTATTTAATTTTTTTAAAAGAGGAAGAAAAGTGCCCTTTGAGTAGACCAATGAGAAGGTGGCACACAGCTTGTCAAGGAGAGGACAGACCAAATTTCAGCACCCAGTTGCCTCCTCCCCTAGGTACCCACAAACAGCAAAACCTAAAGCAGCTGCCCTGACTATAACTGTCAGATAGAAAACAAAATGGTCGCCGGGCGCGGTGGCTCACGCCTGTAATCCCAGCACTTTGGAAGGCCGAGGCGGAAGGATCACGAGGTCAGGAGATGGAGACCATCCTGGCTAACACGGTGAAACCCCGTCTCTACTAAAAATACAAAAAATTAGCCGGGCGCAGTGGCGGGCGCCTATAGTCCCAACTACTTGGGAGGCTGAGGCAGGAGAATGGCGTGAACCCAGGAGGCGGAGCTTGCAGTGGGCCGAGATCATGCCACTGCACTCCAGCCTGGGCGATAGAGCCAGACTCCGTCTCAAAAAAAAAAAAAAAAAAAAGAAAAGAAAAGAAAAGAAAACAAAATAGTCAAAATAGAAACAGGGAAAACTAAGTTAATCATAAAATGTACTTTAGGATGCCCAACATAGACATAGTTCCAAGATACCAGACTGAAGACTGACTTGCATGAAAATCCCTTAGGCATGACTTTATTTTGTTTGGTTAGATGGGGTCTCACCATGTTGCCCGAGCTGGAGGGCAGTGGCTATTTACAGGCACAATCATAGCTCACTGTAGCCTTAAAATCCTGGGCTCAAGGGATCCTCTAGCCTCACCTTTCTGAGTAGCAGGGACTACAGACTCATGCCGCAGCCCCTAGAGGCATGATTTTTAAAATCCCTACCAGAATCTGGAGAAGAGTGCTTATATGAACCTTTATTTTCAAAATGTGTCGCACACACATAGACACCCTCCAAGTCATTCGACTCTCAGATAAGTTTGGGAACGTCTATGGTTTCTTTAACTAAAGAAAAATTGTATTCCTCCTGTCTAATCACGCTGAGCTACTTTTAACTCTATTGGTTGTTTTTGTCAGGTATCCTTTCTAGATATTACCCAGAAAAACAGTTGTTCATTTTAGATGTTATTTTCATAGTTTCAGAAATGGATGCTTATAAAATGCTACCTGATGAGGCTGATAAACATCTCCACTTGTGCACGATAACCTTGTAGTATTTACAAAGGTAGAAGCTCTAAAGTGAGCCTCTTACAGAAGCACTCACAGCCTAGTACCTGGCATATAAAAAGAGCTCAATAGGCCGGGCGCGGTGGCTCACGCCTGTAATCCCAGCACTTTGGGAGGCCGAGGCGGGTGGATCACGAGGTCAGGAGATCGAGACCATCCTGGCTAAAACAGTGAAACCCCGTCTCTACTAAAAATACAAAAAATTAGGTGGGCGTGGTGGCGGGCGCCTGTAGTCCCAGCTACTGGGGAGGCTGAGGCAGGAGAATGGCGTGAACCCGGGAGGCGGAGCTTGCAGTGAGCCGAGATCGCGCCACTGCACTCCAGCCTGGGCGACAGAGCAAGGCTCCGTCACAAGGAAAAAAAAAGAAAAAAAAAAAAAAGGAGCTCAATAAATGTATACAGAAATAAATGAATAGGGCTGGACATGGTGGCTCCCACCTGTAATCCCAGCACTTTGGGAGGCCAAGGCAGGCAGACTGACTGCTTGAGCTCAGAAGTCTAAGACCAGTCTGGCCAACATGGTAAAACCCCGTCTCTACCAAAAATACAAAAAATTAGCCAGGCGTGGTGGCATGTGTCTGTGGTCACAGCTACTCAGGAGGCTAAGGTGGGAGGATCACTTGAGCCTGGGAGGCAGAGGTTGCAGTGCCACTGAACTCCAGCCTGGGAGACAGAGTGAGACCATGTCTCGAAAAAGAAAGAAAGAAAAAAATGAATGGAAAAAATGAAGAAAGGAAAGAATGAGGTGAAGAGGAAGGAAAAATGAATTAATGGCCTGAAACAACAATTCATAGATATCTAAGACTGATGTGGTATAAACTGAATCAATCAATGAACTATAACTTATTTTAATCACCATGATAATTCAATTAACAGTATATGGGCCAGGCGGGGGCTCACGCCTGTAATCCCAGCACTTTGGGAGGCTGAAGCAGGCAGATCACGAGGTCAGGAGTTCAAGACCAGCCTGGCCAACACAGTGAAACCCCGTCTCTACTAAAAGTACAAAAAAATTAGATGGGTGTGGTGGCAGGAGCCTGTAATCCCAGCTACTTGGGAGGCTGAGGCAAGGAGAATCGCTTGAAACTGGGAGGCAGAGGTTGCGGTGAGCCGAGATTGCACCACTGCACTCCAGCCCAGGTGACAGTGCAAGACTCCGTCTAAAAAAAAACAAAACAAAACAAAACAAAAAAAACAGTATATGGCATTACATAAAACCAATTAAACCTTAAAACCTTAAAAATCTGTCTGGATGGAACTTTTTCATAATTTTACAATGCAACTAGGACGGCAAAGTTGAATCTTGAGTGCTAACTTACTCATCTTTTTTTTTGTTTTGAGACAGAGTTTCACTCTTGTTGCCCAGGCTAGAGTGCAATGGCACGATCTTGGCTCACTGCAACCTCTGCCTCCCGGGTTCAAGCGATTCTCCTGCCTCAGCCTCCCGAATAGCTGGGATTACAGGCATGCACCACCATGCCCGGCTTATTTTGTATTTTTAGTAGAGACAGGGTTTCTCCATGTGGGTCAGGCTGGTCTCGAACTCCTGACCTCAGGTGATCCATCCGCCTCAGCCTCCCAAAGTGCTGGGATTACAGGTGTGAGCCACCACGCCCAGCAACTTACTCATCTTTACTCACTTAAACCATATTCTGTAAGGACAGGACAAATTTTCCTCCTATGAGAGAGTGGAAAAAAAAAATTCCAGTAACCATAAGATAATAATATTACCTTTATTTCTGCTTAGTGACAGTGCAATTTCAGAATTGTTATTCAAAGGACGGCGTTTTCCTTTCCCTACAAGCTCTGTATTTACAAAGGTTCCATTGCCACTGTGATCTTCTATGTATGCAATGTAAGAGTTTTTAGGACCCACTTCCTAAAATAGAGAACATTTTGTTTCAGACTTTGAATAGCAGAGATTTATAGTGGGAAAATATCTAAAAACAATGACCAAATTACCAGCTCTCCTAGATACATGGGTATTCATTACCTACCCTGAAAATCCGAAAGTGTTTCTTGCTGTATGTTCGGTATTTATCTGTTCTTTTCAGCAGTGGTTCATCAAAGCAATATTCACAGCTTTTGTCCCTCCCAAACCAGTAGTTGTCATTCACACATTCTGTAATATAAAAGCATGCATCAGAGGGCTGTTGAATTTCATGTATCAAACGTTTAAAAATTGCTCATAAATGCTAATTGTAGGAAAATAGCCTAAGAAGGCAATCAGAATTATCAATCTGCTTATCAAGATTTTACAAGATTAAAAATTAGGAGAGAAAAAACAACATTACCAATGAGTTTAACAAATGGCAGTTTATCTATAACCACATGGCCAGGCACAGTGGCTCACACCTGTAATCTCAGCCCTTTGGAAGGCTAAGGCAGGAGGATCACTTGACCCCAGGAGCTCATGACCAGCCTGGGCAACATAGGGGGCACCCATCTCTACCAAGAATTTAAAAATTAGTCTGGGCAACATGGTGAAACCCTATCTCTACAAAAAATAAAAAATCAGCAGGGTGTGGTGGTGGGTCCCTGTGGTCTCAGCTACTCAGGAGGCTGAGGTGGGAGGATCGCTTGAGCCCAGGAGGTCGAGGCTGCAGTGAGCTGAGACTGCGCCACTGCACACTAGCCTGGGCGACAGAGTGAGACCCAGTTTCAAAAAAAAAAAAATGGCCAGGTGTGGTGGCTCATGCCTGTAATCCCAGCACTTTGGGAGGCTGAGACGAATGGATCACGAGGTCAGGAGTTCAAGACCAGCCTGGCCAAGATGGTGAAACCCTGTCTCTACTAAAAAATACAAAAATTAGCTGGGCGTGGTGGCGGGTGCCTGTAATCCCAGTTACTCGGGAAGCTGAGGCAGAGAATTGCTTGAACCTGGGAGGTGGAGGATGCAGTGAGCCAAGATTGCGCCACTGCACTCCAGCCTGGACGACAAAGCAAGACTCTGTCTGAAAAAAAACAAAAAACAATTAACCAGATGTGGTGGTGCATGCCTGTAGTCCAGCTACTCAGGAGGCTGAAGGAGGAGGATCACTTGAGCAAGATAAGCTGATGCTACAATGGGCTGTGATCCTGCCACTGTACTCCAACCTGGGCAACAGAGCAAGACCCTGTCTCAAAAAAATAAATAAACAAATATTTAATATATATTATATATTTATTTTATATTTATTATATATAATATATATAATTTGTATTTATTATACATGTTATATAAATTTATTTTATAAGTTGTCTTAAATATAATTATATATTTATACACAATATAACATATATTATATATTTATAATATAGTAATTATATCTAAATATATAATAATATATAATATATATTATAATCTATTAATATATGTATTTATATACACAAACACACACATACACATACATATATATATAAAACCGTGAAATAACAAATAGTCATTAAAAGTTCTCGAGTAATTTTTAATGACTTGGAAAATTACTTGCAATACAGTAATTTCCTGCTTATTACCTTCCTGAGGTTTTCCATGACACTTAGCATAAAATCTGCACTCTTCCTCATGGCCTACTAGATGCTCAGGGTCTGGCGTCTGCCACCATTCCAGCCCCACCTCATACCCCTCTCCCCTTGCTCATGACACCCAGCACCACTGGCCTCCTTTCACTGCCCCCAAGAATGCTGGGTTCAATCTGCCTTGTGGTCTTAGCACTTCTTCCCCAACTACACAAATGGCTCATTCCACCTTGCCTTTTGTATAACAGATACTATCTACACAACACTATCTGCCTTTAGGACTCTACTATCATCTCCCACTCAGCTTTCTTTCTTTGAGATGGAGTCTCGCTCTGTCGCCCAGGCTGGAGTGCGGTGGCGCGATCTCGGCTCACTGCAACCTCCACCTCCCAGGTTCAAGCGATTCTCCTGCCTCAGCCTCCCGAGTGGCTGGGACTACAGGCACGTGCCACCATGCCCAGCTAATTTTTTGTAATTTTAGTAGAGACGGGGTTTCGCCATGTTAGACAGGATGGTCTCGATCTCCTGAACTTGTGATCCGCCCGCCTCGGCCTCCCAAAGTGCTGGGATAACAGGCATGCGCCACCACACCCGGCCTCCCGCTCAGCTTGTTATATAAACATTACTCACCTGTTATCATAATGTTATCCTGTTTTATATCTTTTTGGGTATGGGCCACGGCTGGAAATTACCTTGCTTATTTGTATATTTTCTCCCCACCTCCCTGCATTAGAACATAACCTCCAGGAGGGCAGCTGGAGACCTCTTGTTTAACAGTACAACTCCAGCACTTGGGATATTGCACATGGCAGGTAATTAAATGTTCATTGCAAGGCAGACTAGGGAAAATACTAGCAACTCCTATCAGGAAAAGGAATAATTTCCCTAATAAATGTTAGGTTCCTATAAATCAGTGAAAACGCTAAACAGTCCAGTAGAAAAATAGGTAAAGGATATGAAAAGATAATTTACAAGAAACAGAAATACAGCTGGCTCAAACATATGAAAGGTGGCCAAGCTAACCCAATATAAGAAAATTCAGAAATCAAAAACACATTAAGATTTCATGTTTTACCTATTAGATTGGCAAAAATCCAAAAGTTTCATATCACCCTGTGCTGGCAAGAGGTATGAAAAAGCGGGTACTCTCATACATTGCCATTGGGAATATAATTTATACACACATTGTCTATAATTGTCTAGGGAGGACAATTTAGCAAGATCTATCAAAATTACATATGGGCTGGGCACGATGGCTCACACCTGTAATCCCAGTACTTTGGGAGGCCAAGGAAGGAGGATCACTTGAGCCTGAAGGTCGAGGCTGCACTAAGCTGTGGTTGCACCACTCACTCCAGAGTGAGAGTGAGACCCTATCTCTAGAAAGAAAAAGAAAATTAACAAATCCAAATTTAGTTAGTTAAAAAGATCAACAAGTTGGCAAACCTTAGACAGACTGAACAAGAAAAAAAGAGACAAGACTCAAATTACTAAAATTAGAATGAGAGAGATAATTACTACTGATCTGACAGAAATAAAAATGATTTAAAAAGAATAATTGAACAATTGTGTGACAGTATTAGATGACATAGGTGAAATGGACAAACTCCTAGAAAGATACAAACTACCAAAACTAACACAAGAAGAAACAGAAAATCTGAATATACCCATAAGAAGTGAAAAGACTGAATGATAATCCTAGCACATTGGGAGGCCAAGGCAGGCGGATTGCTTGACTTCAGGAGATTGAGACCAGCCTGTGCAACATGGCAAAATCCCGTCTCTACTAAAAACAAAACAAAAAAAAATTTAGCCAGGTGTGGTGGCGCGCCCCTGTAGTCCCAGCTACTCTGGAGGCTGAGGCACAAGAATCGTTTGAACCTGTGAGGCAGAGGCTGCAGTGAGCCAATATTGTGCCACTGCACTCCAGCCTGGGTGACAGAGAGAGAGACTCTGTCTCCAAAAAAACAAAACAAAACAAAAGACTGAATGAGTAATCAAAATATCCCTACAAAGAAAAGTGCAGTCCCAGATTGCCTCACTTTAGCTTGAGCAACATAGGGACACCCCATCTCTATCAAAATAAAAAAATTAGCCACACATGGTGGCACATGCCTGAGGTCCCAGCTACTCAGGAGGCTGAGGTAGGAGTTGAGCCTGGGAGGTCAAGCCTGCAGTGAAACGTGATAGTGGGTAACACTCCAGCGTGGGTAAGAGTGAGACCCTGTCTCAAAAAAAAGAAAAAAGAAACACACGGCTGGCTTCATTTTAAATTCTATCAAATATGTAAAGAACTAATACCAATTATTCTCAAACTTTTCGAAGAAATTCGGAACGGAACACTGTCAACTCATCTATGAGGCCAGCATACCAAAACCAGACAGAGACATCACAGTAAAACCACAAACCAATATCCCTTGTGAATATAGATATAAAAATCCTCAACAAAACAGTAGCAAACTAAATCCAGCAACACATAAAAAAGATTACAAATGACCAAACAAGAATTAACCCAGGACGCCAGGCGCGGTGGCTCACATCTGTATTCCCAGCACTTTGGGAGGCCGAGGCGGGCGATCACGAGGTCAGGAGATGGAGACCATCCTGGCTAACACGGTGAAACCCCGTCTCTACTAAAAATACAAAAAATTAGCCGGGCGAGGTGGCGGGCGCCTGTAGTCCCAGCTACTCGGGAGGCTGAGGCAAGAGAATGGC
This sequence comes from Homo sapiens, assembly GCF_000001405.40. Lineage (NCBI taxonomy): Eukaryota > Metazoa > Chordata > Mammalia > Primates > Hominidae > Homo > Homo sapiens. Next base: position 28,729,459 of record NC_000022.11, read on the forward strand.
GTGAACCCCAGGGGGCAGACCCTGCAGTGAGCCGAGATCACGCCACTGCACTCCAGCCTGGGCGACAGCGAGACTCCATCTCAAAAAAAAAAAAAAAAAAAAAAAAAGAATTAACCCAGGAAAGCTTGGTTGGTTTAACATCTGAAAACCAATTAATATAATACACGATAACAATAGAATATAGGAAAATAGACACAGAAAAAAATTTTGGCAAAATGCAACACCCTTTTATAACAAAAAATACTCAGAAAACTAGGAATAGGAGTAAACTCCTTCAACCTAATAAAGAGCTTTTATTTTATTTATTATCTATTTATTTTTAATTTAGAGGCAAAGTCTTGCTCTGTGGCCTGCAATCATAGCTTGCTGCAGTCTCCAACTCGTGGCCTTAAGCACTTCTCCTGCCATAGGCTCCCAAAGCACTGAGATTATAGGGTGAAAGAGTCAGAGCAACCAGCCAGAAAGCATTTTTTTTTTCTTTTGAGTCAGAGTCTCACTCTATCACCAACTAGCTGGAACTACAGGCTCCTGCCACCACGCCCGGCTAATTTTGTTTTTGTATTTTTAGTAGAGACGGGGTTTCACCATGTTGGCCAGGATGGTCTCGATCTCCTGACCTTGTGATCCGCCCACCTCAGCCTCCCAAAGTGCTTGGATTACAGGCATGAGCCACTGCACCCACCCCAGAAAGAACTTTTATGAAACATCCACAGCTTAGTCTTCAGATATCAGAGGAGAAAGGAGAGAGGAAGAGAGAAGAGGAGAGAGAAGAGGAAAGAAAAGAGGAGAGGAGAGGAGGGGAGGGGAGGAAAGGAAAGCGGAAGGGAAAGGAAAGGAAAGCGGAAGGGAAAGGAAAGCAGAAGGGAAAGGAAAGGAAAGGAAAAAAGAAAGGGGAAAGGGGAAAGGAAAAGGAAAAGGGAAAGAGAAAGGGAAAGGGAAAGACCCACAGCTAACATCATACTTAGACTGCAAACTGGCCGGGGATGGTGCCTCACACCTCTTATCCCAGCACTTTGGGAGGCTGAGGCAGGAGGATCAGATGACAGCAGGAGTTCAAGATCAGATTGGGTAACATGGCCAGACTCTGTCTCTACAAAAAATAAAAATAAAAAAGTTAGGCCAGCCACGGTGGCTCATGCCTGTAATCCCAGCACTTTGGGAGGCCGAGGCGGGTGGATCACCCGAGGGCAGGAGTTCGAGACCAGCCTGGCCAACATGGTGAAACCCCATCTCTACTAAAAATACAAAAATTAGCCAGGCATGGTGGCATAAGCATGTAATCCCAGCTACTTGGGAGGCTGAGGCAGGAGAATCGCTTGAAACCGGGAGGAGGAGGTTGCGGTGAGCCGAGATCATGACATTGCAATCCAGCCTGGTGACAGAGCAAGGCTCCGTCTCAATAAATAAATAAATAAAACTTAAAATGAATAAAGGACCTTAATTAAACATAAGAGCTAAAACTAGGCCAGGCACTGTGGCTTATGCCTGTAATCCTAACACTTTGGGAAGCCAAGATGGATGTATTGCTTGAGCTCAGGAGTTTGAGACCAGACTGCAACATGATGAAACCCCATCTCCACCAAGAATACAAAAAGTTAGCTGGGAGTGGTGGTGCACATCTGTGGTCCCAGCTACTCAGGAGGCTGAAGTGGGAGAATTGCTTGAGCCTGGGAGGCAGAGGCTGAAGTGAGCTGAGATTGTGCCACTGCACTCCAGCCTGGATGACAGAGTGAGATCCTGTCTCAAAATAAACAAACAAACAAACAAACAAAAATTTAAAAAAAGGAATTAAAACTGTAAAATTTTAAAAGAAAACATAGGTATAAATAATTAACAAATAATAATAATAAACAGCCTCGGCCAGACGTGGTGGCTCGCGCCTGTAATCCCACCACTTTGGGAGGCCAAGGCGGGCAGATCACCTGAGGTCAGGAGTTTGAAACCAGCCTGGCCAATATGATGACAACCCGTCCCTACTAAAAAATACAGAACTTAGCCACGGTGGTGGGCACCTGTAATCCCAGCTACTCAGGTGGCTGAGGCAGGAGAATGGCTTCAACCCAGGAGATTGAGGTTGCAGTGAGCCAAGATCGTACCACTGCACTCCAGCCTGGGTGACAGAGTGAGACTCCGTCTCAAATAATAATAATAATAATAATGATAAACAGTCTCTATTTATTCAGCACCTACTTTATGCTGGTCATCCTATCAGGATCTTTGTTTACTTGTCTTTTTTTGTTTTTCCTTTTTGTGGAGAATGGGGTCTCGCTATATTGCCCAGCAGGTCTCAAACTCCTGGGTTCAAGCTATCCTCCCACCTCTGCTGCTCTAAGAGCTGGGATTACAGTTGAGAGCCCCTGCACCCAGCCTCTTTGTTTTCTTACTTTTAAAGGTGATGTATCCCATTTAGCCCTTTCTCACCATTTCTATTTCTCACTCATCTAAACCTATAGGCCTATCTGAAAAAATATATTGTATTTTATTTATTTGTTTATTTTTTGGAGACGGAATCTCGCTCTGTCACCCAGGCGGGACTGCAGTAGCGCAATCTCAGCTCACTGCAACCTCCACCTCCCAAGTTCCAGCAATTCTCCTGTCTCAGCCTCCTGTGTGGGTGGGATTACAGATGCCTGCCACAACGCCCCGCAAATTTTTTTTTCTTTTTTTTTTGAGATGGAGTTTCGCTCTTGTTGCCCAGGCTGGAGTGCAATGGCGAGATCTCGGTTCACTGCAACCTCTGCCTCCCAGGTTCAACCGATTCTCCTGCCTCAGCCTCCTGAGTAGCTGGGATTACAGGAGCCCGCCACCATGCCCAGCTAATTTTGTATTTTTAGTAGAGACAGGGTTTCTCCATGTTGGTCAGGCTGGTCTCGAACTCCCGATCTCAGGTGATCCGCCCATCTCGGCCTCCCAAAGTGCTGGGATTACAGGCATGAGCCACCACGCCTGGCCTAATTTTTGTATTTTTAACAGAGACAGGGTTTCCCCATGTTGGCCAGGATGGCCTCAAACTCCTGACCTCAGGTGATCCACCTGCCTTGGTCTCTCAACGTGCTGGGATTACAGGCATGAGCCACAATGCCCGGTCTGAAAAATATATTTTAAATCAGTTAAAAATAGCTTCGAGTGTCTACTTATAAATTTAAAGTTGTATATGTGGAATGCAGGTATATTCCTCCATTTTTTATAGTTTTTTCAAGATATCAAAGTTAGACATGAAATAAAACAAGGATGGTGAGTGACAAAACACAAAATGATACATCAGTCCTTCATTTCTTTATATTAACATATTCTATCCTGTTAATGCCAAGTTCAAATTTGTTTATTAAAGAGGTCATTGCAATGTAAGCGAAAGGAAAAAAAACACTATTTTTTTTGGCCGGAGTGCAGTGGTGCAATCCTGGCTCATTGCAACCTCTGCCTCCCAGGTTCAAGCAATTCTCATGTCTCATCCTCCTGAGTAGCTGGGATTGCAGACATGCGCCACCACACCTGGCTAATTTTTGTATTTTCAGGAGAGACAGGGTTTTGCCATGTTGCCCAAGCTGGTTTCGAACTCCTGGCCTCAAGTGATCCTCCCGCTTTGGCCTCCCAAAGTGCTGGGATTACAGGCGTGAGCCACCATGCCTGGCAATGTTAAAATACACACATGTGTATTTTAAACATATGCAGAGCAAAACTTACTATTGGAACCAGGAGGTGTCAGAAAGGGTCAACATGTTTAAATCACAAGGTTGGCTATTTTGAGACAAAAACAAGTAACAAGTAGTCAACAAATGGCCATCTCTATTCTGAACAGCTCTGATTCTCTGAAGCTGTGGCAAACCACAGCAGAGGTTAACTAGTGAAGCTTTTGTGATTAGGGGATAATGTTTGCAAGTTTGAGTGAATCTGCATTTTTCTAGGAAGAGGGTCCAAAGCTACCTTCAGATCTTTGGATGGACAGCACATTGTAAATGTCCAATTATTATTTGTTGAAAGAGTAAATGAACAGAATCCACAGCAGGTAACAGCCAGGGCAACACCCAATACTGCCTCTTTGGTTTTACCTTTTATCACATTCAAACTCCAGAATTATTCTAAGAGTGGCTCAAGCATTCTGCTGCAACTAACTAAGGCAGGAAAATAGGGTCTGAAGGCAGGGAATCTATGGCCAATTCACGCAAACTTCCTGGAATAGATGGGCACGGTTGCTCATGCCTGTAATCCCAACACTTTGGGAGGCCGAAGCAGGAGGATCACTTGAGGCCAGGAGTTCGAGACCAGCCTGGCCAACGTGGTGAAACCCCGTCTCTACTAAAAATACAAAAATTAGCCAGGTGTGGTGGTGTGTGTCTGTAATCCCAGCTACTCAGGAATCTGAGACAGGAGAATCGCTTGAACCCAGGAGTCAGAGGCTGCAGTGAGCCGAGCCGAGATGGCGTCACTGCACTTGTCTGTGCGACAGAGCAAGACTCCGTTGCCAAAAAAAAAAAAAAAAAAATTCCTGAAACTAAACAAAAAAGGAAGAATTTGCACTCTGGCCTATGATCCGTCCATTCTAGGACCTTCATTTGCATAAGGCGTCAATCCACACCAGTCTTGGAATGGCCGAGCTCCAATTCACTTTGGCCTCTAATGGGCTGTGAGCCAGCACTTCATTTACATAGGATGTAAACAGTGGGAGACCTCTAGAGGGTACTTGAACCCCAGAAGACTTTGCTACAAGGGCTCTGCAGCCACTTGCTCAGGCCTGCTCCCATCCTGTGACATGTACTTTAGCTTCTATTGCCTTCCACTTCAATAAATCTATGCTTTCATTGCTTGTTCATGCATGATGTTCAATTATTTGTTCAACGTGCCAAAAACCTGGACAACTCCAATCAGAACCTTCCACCTGGTAATACAACTTTCTGTAAGTGTTTTTCTGAACAAAACGTGATACTATACAACAAAGGGTCTTACCAAGATTGGCAAATCCATCCTGAAGGGCCCATAATCGAGCCCAGGGGGCAGGGGTAGGCTCCTCAGGTTCTTGGTCCTCAGGTTCTTGGTCCTCAGGAATAGAATAGAGTTCCTGAGTGGACACTGTCTCTAAGGAGCTCAGTGTCCCAGAGCTGGAGTGAGAGGACTGGCTGGAGTTTGGCATCGTGCTGGTAGAGGAGCTGGATATGCCCTGGGACTGTGAGGAGGAGCCTTGGGACTGGGTAACGCTGCCATGGGGCTGTGAACAGGCACTGCTGCCATGAGACTGCTGAGCCTCAACATCCGACTCCCGAGACATCACGACCTCAAAAAGAAAGTGTCCAACAACAAAGGTGAGTTTCAAGGCACAAGACTTAAAATTAAAAAGTAAATGATGGGCCTATTACAACAGCAAAAGAAAAGAAAAAAAAAAAAACAGGGCAAACATGCTCTCCAAAAATTAAAAGTCCTAACAGCCCAGACCTATAGTTCTTCTGGGCTGAGCTTTTCACCAGATCATTGTCACCAGATCAGTTTTTTATCTGACAGCCATAAACTACAGGGAAAAACAAATTATCTGAAGGTTACAAATAAGTAAAAAGCAATAAAATTGAGCTGGGGGGCTCATAAAAGCTTACATTTGTCCAATTCTTTTAAATTAAGACTGAAACCAAAAATGTACTGATACAATCAACACTACATTTAAATTTCATATATACAGGGGGCCAGGCGCGGGGGTTCACTCCTGTAGTCCCGCACTTTGGGAGGACAAGACGGGCAGATCATGAGGTCAGGAGTTCAAGACCAGCCTGGCCAACATAGTGAAACTCCGTCTCTACTAAAAATACAAAAAATTAGCCAGGCGTGGTGGCGGGCACCTGTATTCTCAGCTACTCGGGAGGCTGAGGCAGGAGAATCGCTTGAGCCCGGGAGGCAGAGGTTGCAGTGAACCAAGATTGCACCACTGCACTCCAGCCTGGGCAACAGTGCAAGACTCCGTTTCAAAAAAAAAAACTCATATATACAGTCCTCAATTTAACAATGCTTCTATTTAACAATGTTTAGACTTTCTGTGAAAGCAATCAGTAGACACTTACTTCTCCAAGTCCTCACATAACCATTCTGGTTTTCACCTTCAGTACAGTATTCAAGTAATTACATGAGATATTTAACACCTTATTATAAAATAGGCCAGGTGGCCAGGTGCAGTGGCTCACACCTATAATCCCAGAACTCTGGGGGGTCAAGGCAGGTAGATCACCTGAGATCAGGAGTTCAAGACCAGCCTGGCCAACACAGTCAAACCCCGTGTCCACTAAAAATACAAAAATTAGCCGGGTGTGGTGGCAGGCGCCTGTAGTTCCAGCTACTCAGGAGGCTGAAGCAGGAGAATTGCTCGAGCCCAGGAGGCAGAGGTTGCACTGAGCTGAGATCGCGCCACTGCACTCCAGCCTGGGTGACAGGAGTGAAACCCTGTCTCAAAAAAATTAATTAATTAAATAAATAAAATTTTAAAATAAAATAAAATAGGCCAGGTGCAGTGACTCACAACTGTAAACCCAATATTTCGGGTGGTGGAGGTAGGAGGATTGCTTGAGGGCAGGTGTTTGAGACCCCACCTCTACAAAAAATAATAACAATAATCTTTGTGTTAGATAATTTTGCCCAACTGTACCCTGACATAAGTGTTCTGAGCATGTTTAAAGGAGGCTAGGCTAAACTATGACGTTTGGTATCTTAGGTGTATTAAATGTAATTTCAATTTAACAATATTTTCAACTTAGAATGGTTTTATTTAGACATAATGCCATTGAAAGTTGAGGAGCATCTGTGTACTTTGGAAAGCAAAAGAAGACAAAAAATCAGGTGGCTTGATATAAAAGTCAAAAAGAAATTGTACAATAACCTGCTGCATTACTCCAAAGGGTCCATTTACATAAAATGTCACTGGTACCCCTTTTCCCCCAGGCTTGCTCCTAAAGTGAAACACACCTGTTCGTTCAATCTATATTCCCTGACACCTAAGGACCCAGTGACTTAATGAGGCAGAACACAAAGGAAGACAGCTCTTAACAACTCCACCTATCCCTTTGTGATGCTAAATAACCATAGGGCTTATCTTTTCAGCATCCTAAATGGCCTTCCGGCCTTGATGTAATCTTGCAGGAACCATTCTTTTATAAACTGGAGACCGTAACAGAGGCTTCCACCCTTGTCTTAGAATTAACCTGATAGACAGTTAGACTGTCATAACAGGCTGGGTGCAGTGGCTCATACCTGTAATCCCAGCACTTTGGGAGGCCAAGGCAAGAGGACCACTTGAGGCCACGAGTTCAATACCAGCCTGGCCAACATAGTGGGACCCCCCCCGCCCCCCGTACAAAAAATAAGAAAATTAGACATGATGGCATGCAGCTGTGGGCTCAGCTACTCAGGAAGGTGAGGTGGGAGGATCACTTGAGCCCAGGAGTTGAAGGCTGCAGTGAGCTATGATCATACCACTTACATACCAGCCTGGGTGGCAGAGTGAGACCCTATCTCCAAAGAACAGAAAACAAACCAAGACTCTGATAACAGAACCACCAGTAAAATCAAAGTAACATCCACTGCTGACCTAATCGGATTAACAAAAAAAAGGGAGGGAGAGGAGGGCATTCTCTTCCTCCCCAAACTCAGGCTACTACTCTAGGAGAACATAGGAAACAACACTATAGTAGTCCCCACCATCAGAGGGGGATAAGATCCAAGACCCCCCAGTGGATGCCTGAAACCTCGCATAGTACAGAACCCTATATAAATTATGCACAACTTTCTTTTTCCTTCTTCACAATTTCACAAATAGAAGATTAGTTCTTACCATAGACGTTAGCAGCCTCAGCATACAAATTTTTTTATTTCCATATTAAATTGAGATCTTTCACCTTTTCAGTAAAAGGAAACACTTTACAGCTTCTCTTTACAATATCCAAATTGCCAGCATCTTTTGCTTTGGGGCCATTATTAAATATAAGGGTGACATGAACACAAGCACTGCAAAACCATGTAATTTAAGACTTATGAACTGATTATTTCTTTTTTTTTTTTTTTTTGAAACGGAGTCTCAGTCACCCAGGCTGGAGTGCAGTGGCACAATTTTGGCTCATTGCAACCTCCACCTCCTGGGTTCAAGCAATTCTCCTGCTTCAGCCTTCCAAGTAGTTGGGATTACAGGCGCACACCACCATGCCCGGCTAATTTGTATATTTTTTTTAGTAGAGACAGGGTTTTCACCGTATTGGCCAGCCTGGTCTCAAACTGCAGACCTCAGGTGATCCTCAGGTCCACCTCAGCCTCCCAAACTGCTAGGATTACAGGCCTGAGCCACCATGCCCAGCCATGAATTGACTATTTCTTATGAATTTTCCACTTAATAGTTTCAGATCGCAGCTGACCATTGGTAAGTGAAACTACTACCGCTGATAAGGAGGGACTAAGATACCCACACTGATTGTATTTACACAGCTTTCAAGATACAAAGGTTCTGCCAGGTGTGGTGGTTCATGTCTGTAATCCCAGCACTTTGGGAGGCCAACGCAGGTAGATTGCTTGAGCCCAGGAATTCAAGACCAGCCTGGGCACCATGGTGAAATCCAGTATCTACAGAAAATACAAAAAATTAGCAGGGCATGGTGGTGTGCACCTGTAGTCCCAGCTACTTGGGAAGCTGAGGTGGGAGGATCACTTGAGTCCAGGAGGTTGAGGCTGCAGTGAGCCGTGATCGAGCCTGCACTCCAGCCTGGGTGACAGAGCGAGACCCTGTCTCAAGGAAAATAAAAAAGATACAAAGGTTCTGATGAGTTTTCTTTAAAACATACCAGGAAGGCAATGCCAAAACTGAGTATGCCACACCAGGGACTGCTGGTCTAATACTACCTGAGCCAGGCTGAGTCTTCCCCACAGCTTTTTAAGCAAGACAGGACAACTGGAGAAAATGTGTCAACAAGTTACTATGAGAGATTAGAGGCAAGCGGATCTGGAGTCAGACACTTGAGTGAAACTGTGCATGACTTTAGGTAGATCACAACTTCTCTAAACCTGTTTTCTCATCTGAAAATAAGTAGACAGACCATGAGGATTAAGTGAAGTGACGCATGTAATACTCCCCCCACCCACCCATGCTTGCTATCTGGGAGCTATTGCTATTGGAAAGCCATGCAGAGAAGTGAGTGAAAAACCAAAGTGAGGGCAGCAAAACTCCAGGACTGTAGACAGAAATCCAGTCCCAAAACCTATAAAACTACTAGAAGAAAACACTGGGGAAGTGCTCCAGGACACTCATCTTGGGCACAGGTTTTTTGGGCACAGGGTTTTTACGTAAGACCTCAAAAGCACAGGCAACTAAAGCAAAAACAGACAACTGGGATTTCATCAAGCTAAAAAGCTTCTGCACAGCCAAGGAAACAATCAACAAAGTGAAGAGACAACCCACAGAATGGGAAAAAACATTTCCAAACTAGCCATCTGACAAGGGATGAATAACCAGAATATATAAGGAGATGAAACTCAACTGCAGAAAGACAAATAATCCAATTTAAGAAATGGGCAAGCCAGGCACGGTGCCTCACATCTGTAATCCCAGCACTTTGGGAGGCCAAGGTGGGTGAATCATCTGAGGTCAGGAGTTCAAGACCAGCCTGGTCAACATGGCAAAACCACATCTCTACTAAAAATACAAAAAATTAGCTGGGCATGGTGGCCCGTGCCTGTAATCCCAGCTACTTGGTAGGCTGAGACACGAGAATCACTTGAACTCAGGAGACGGAGACGGAGGTTGCAGTGAGCCGAGATCGCACCACTGCACTCGAGGCTAGGTGACAGAGTGAGATTCTGTCTCAAAAAAAAGAAATGGGCAAAAGATCCGAAAAGACATTTCTCGAAAGAAGACATACAAATGGCCAACAGGTATATTAAAAAAATGCTCAACATCACTGATCACTGGAGAAATATAAATCAAAACTACAGTGAGGCCCGGGTGCAGTGGCTCATGCCTGTAATCCCAGCACTTTGGGAGGCGGAGGCGGGCAGATCACTTGGGGTCAGGAGTTTGAGACCAGCCTGGCCAACATGGTGAAACCTGTCTCCACTAAAAATATGAAAATTAGCTGGGCATGGTGGCAGGCGTCTATAATCCCAGCTACTTGGGAGGCTGAGGCAGGAGAATCTCTTGAACCCGGGAGGCAGAGGAGGCAGTGAGCCAAAATCGCGCCACTGCATTCCAGCCTGGGCGACAGAGTAAGACTCTGTCTCAAACAAACAAACAAACAAAAAAACCCACAATGAGATACCATCTCACCCAAGTTAAAATGGTTTGTATAAAAGATAGGCAAAACAGATGCTGGAAAGAATGTGCAGAAAGGGGAACTGTATAGAGTGCTCTTGACATAAGTAATTTTATCTTAGAAAAAGGCTCTATCTTATATTTTAAAAGGCATTATGCCAACAGGGACCAGATGTTTGTCTAATTAATAAAGACTGTACTGGCCATGTACAGTGGCTCACGCCTGTAATCTCAGCACTTTGGGAGGCCAAGGCGGGCGGATCACAAGGTCAGGAGATGGAGACCATCCTGGTCGACATGGTGAAACCCCAACTCTACTAAAAATACGAAACTTAGCTGGGCATGGTGGCGCGTGCCTGTAGTCCCAGCTACTCGGGAGGCTGAGGCAGGCGAATCGCTTGAACCAGGGAGTCGGAGGTTGCAGTGAGCCGAGATCGCACCACTGCACTCCAGCCTGGTGACAAAGCGAGACTCTGTCTCAAAAAAAACACTGTACTAAACCAGATAAGGATATAAATATGTACACGCTTTTGTTATTAGTCCTCACAAGAAAATTCTTTGGTCATAAGAGCAGGACTTTATTAGGTCAAAATGGCTGTCCTAACAGACACCATCTTGCTGTCACTCATGATTAACACCCAGTATCCGCCATCAAAGGCTCTGCCCGCATCAAAAACTCTTCCTTACAAGACACTGACACCCCAGATAAAGCCAAAACACTCTCTTTGTCCACATTGCTCTCCTTGGACTGGTTTGATAACCACTTTCCCTATCCCCTTTTCTCCGAATGTTAAATGTTACTTTAATGTAAGATTTTTAATCTATAACATTTACATATTAAATAAATATACTATTGTGTACGGTTTACAATACTGACTGACTTGTGGAATGGCTTGAGCCTGTGTGCCCATGGCTCTGACCACCAAGTAAACAGGGAGTACTACGGAAAATTGCTTCCTTGGGAACTCCATATAGCTCGTGGCTTTTACAATTAAAATAAAACATCAATAAGTCTGATCTTGTGGAAAGACACAAATGTGCATGGACCTGGTTATGTCTGACCTTGCACTGTTCACATACACCACTGGTGGGAATGCAAATTAGTATAGCCACTATAGAGAAGAGTATTGTGATTCCTCAAAAAATTGAAAATAGGCCGGGCGCGGTGGCTCACACCTGTAATCCCAGCACTTTGGGAGGCCAAGGCAGGTGGATCACCTGAGGTCAGGAGTTCGGGATCAGCCTGGCCAACATGGTGAAACCTCGTCTCTACTAAAAATACTAGCCGGGCATGGTGGCGGGTACCTATAATCCCAGATACTTAGGAGGCTGAGGCAGGAGAATCGCTTGAACCCAGGAGGCAGAAGTTGCAGTGAGCCCAGATCGCGCCACTGCACTCCAGCCTGGCAACAGAGAGAGACTCCGTCTCAAAAAAAAAAAAAAAAAAAAAAAAGGTACAGATGGTAATCATATATGTATACTTTATATCAAAAATAAATAATTTTTTTTAAAAATTCCAGAGGTCTTTCAAGTGAAACACAATATTTTTTTCAAGCAGAAAACCTAAGTCCGAAGGAGGACTGATGCCCTCCTACCCACTTCTGGCCACCCTATCCCATACATTTACTTAGGGACTTATTTAGGGACACGCAGAACATCCTCCTACACAGCTCAGTGCGTTTCCAGTCCCTGCAGCGCCCAGTAGCTAAGACTGGCTTCTCTATAAGTATTTTATAGATTGAACCTAAAGAATGGCAACGATTTCTAACATCTATAGAATTTTTACGAAGTCACTTCGCTCTGATATTGAAGAATACAACGCTGTTCTTCTTATCCTGTATGTTCAGGCCTGTTTCAGCTTGCAAGTAATACGGGAAGTGAACTTCACCTCGAGGATGATCTACTGAAAAGGAAGAGAGTCGCCCACACACTCCCCCTTCAGCTCAAAACTACAGACAAAGCGAAGCTCAGGAGACTCCGTTCGCACAAAACGCTTAAGATGGGATTCGAACCACCAAACACCCAACAGAAGTTCCCCATATGACTCACCGCGTGAGCCCACCTGGAGCCGCACACTCTCCGCAGCCTCAGCCAGCAGAGTGGCGCTAAACCTGCAGATACAAACTCCACCCTCAGCCAATCAAAACCCCCTCCCCTGCCGCCGGACCAATGAGGAGCAGCAGATGTGGCCGTCAGGCGCCGCCTCAATGCCTCCTGGGAGTTGTAGTTTAGAAGGGAGAGCGGAACTTAGAACCCGGGTTCCCCTCGGGTGATCCCGCCCCCTCGACTCCCCAGCCAATCAGCAACATTAGTCTGGTTAGACGCTCTCTTTGCTTTTCCCCACGAGTGACCACGGCTAGATAGGCCGCCGGCCAGATGTGGCGGGGGAGAGCCGGGGCTTTGCTCCGGGTGTGGGGGTTTTGGCCGACAGGGGTTCCCAGAAGGAGACCGCTAAGCTGCGATGCTGCGTCGCAGGCGGGAAGCAATTATCCCCGCTGTTGGAACTGCGGCGGCCCATGGGGCCCCGGGCGGGAGGACAGGTTCTTCTGCCCACAGTGCCGAGCGCTGCAGGCACCTGACCCCACTCGAGACTACTTCAGCCTTATGGACTGGTACGAGCGACGGTTTCGGGAAACGGGCCCGGGCGAGAGACACGTCGAGGTCTGGCCTGCGAGAGGGGAGGACGGATCTGGCTGGCGGAAGAGAAGGCGGGACTGATGGGGGGGCGGAGGTCTAGAGAGCAGGCGTGAGAGAAGTGTCTTGATTTCTCAGGAGGAAATTGAGAGGCGGGGACTGAGGGAAGCAACGTTGAGGTGTGGAGAAGGGAGACGAACGGGACTGGAGGGGCGGGCGCTGAAGTTAGAGGAAATAGGGGGGCCGAGGCTAGAGGGGAGGGAGATTTGAGGGGCGGTACCTACGGGAAAGGGAAGGAGAAGTCGAGGGGCGGAACTTGAGGAAAGGGTACTTGAGGGGCAGGGCCTGGGAGACTGGAAGACTTGAATGAATAGGGTGAGTAAGGTTTAAAGTTGGGTTGATGTATTTAAGAAAGGACTGCAGAAGTGTGATCCGAGATTAGGGAGTAAAGCATGAAAAGCTTAATATTGTGGGCGAGGCCTGAGGGAAAAGTGAGAATTGGAGGGAGAGGGTCCAATAAATGGTTTTTCCCCCTGAGACTGAGGTTCTTGGAGAGACGGGGCAGTGTGGATAGAGCTGAACTGGTAAGGAAATAGGACAGACTCTGGGAGTAGAATGTGAAAGGGGCTGAATTAAAATAAACCGGGAGAGACAGGGATGAAGGGACCTGGGCCGTGGAAAAGTTAGGGTGGTATTAAAGAAAACATGATTCAGTCACACTTGTTCAAGCACCAGAAAGACTTTCTTCAAGACCATCTTGTAGAGGGGCCACTGCAATAGGGTCTTGCAGTTGGGGAGAGAGATTGGTCTCAACTCCAAAAAGGGCATGGGCAGAAGGAAATTTGTAGCCAAGGAGCAGAGTAAACGGGATTCTGGCTAAGCCGACCTAACGGGATTCTTGCTGAAGACAGGCCAGGCTGCTTAGACACCACCTGGGGGATAGTAGAGGATGAAGAATCTGATCAGAGATCTAGGATGATCAAAAATATGAGGATCGAGGATTCTAGCTAAACTGACTTGGCAAGATTATTTGCCAAAACTGTATTTTACAAGAAAGCATACATCTGGGCCTAGGAGAAGGTTCAGAAATCTGACTAAAGTTTGGCCAGGCAAAGAATCTTTGTCTGTGTAATTTAGGAATGTCCCTTTTCCTTAACTATGGGATCTTCCCCACCAGTCACTGAACATGTATGAGGGGCTACAGTAACGCTGATCTTTAAGTTCCTCAGGCATCCCCATCTTGCTCCCACCTCGAGGTCCTTGCTCTTGCAATTCTACCTGGACGTCTCTTTCCTCTGATCTTTGATTACTCATCATCATTCAGGTTTCAGCTGAGTGTCATCTCTTTGTCCACTACATCTGCTACACTCTCTGACTCTGTTCTGTGTCCCTTCATAGGACTTACCACTTTTTGAAATTAACTGCTTATATGTTATTGCATCTTCCCCATAAGAGCAAGAACCAGGCTCATGGTAGATAAACCTTTAAATATTTGTTGTATAAATTTAATCTCCCAATTTCCTTCCAGCAACCGTTCCTTCAGAGTTGATACAGCGAAGCTCCAGCACAGGTACCAGCAACTGCAGCGTCTTGTCCACCCAGATTTCTTCAGCCAGAGGTCTCAGGTAGCTTATTGGCCAACCCCAATAATCCCCAAATATGTGTGCACACTGGGTGGCAGTAGCCTTGTGGTTATGTGATTATCAGGGACTGAGCTGGAAAATCAGCTGTGTCTGCCCCATGGCAGTCTGACCCCAGCCTGTCAGACCCAGAGCTGCCATTCACTCACAGCTTTTGTCTGACTTCCCAGATAACTTAAAACCTATCAGCTGAATATAAAGACACCTCATCCCACACCAGCTCTACTTAACCACTTCCTTAGGTGCCTGCCCATTAGAATATTATAAAACTTTGTGGGCCTGGCACAGTGACTCACGCCTGTAATCCCAACACTTTGGGAGGCCGAGGCAGGCAGATCACTTGAAGTCAGGAGTTCAAGACCAGCCTGGCCAACAGGGTGAAACCCTGTCTCTACTAAAAATATAAAAATTAGCCCAGTGCAGTGACACATGCTTGTAGTCCCAGCTTCTTGGGAGGCTAAGGCAGGAGGATCACTTGAACGTGGGAGGTGGAGGTTGCAGTGAGCTGAGTTCGCGCCACTGCACACTCCAGCCTGGATGACTCAACGTCAAAACAAAAACAAAAACAAAAAAACTTTGTGATTTGGATGGTAATAGTACTATCTTCATCTCCACTAACAGACTGAAAAGGACTTCTCAGAGAAGCATTCGACCCTGGTGAATGATGCCTATAAGACCCTCCTGGCCCCCCTGAGCAGAGGACTGTACCTTGTAAGGTGATTTCCCAACACTTCTGTGTATGACGTCCTGATGCCCATTATGGCGTAGGACAGCCACGTCCCCTTTATTCAGCAGAAGAGTGCTTGAGGTCAGGCATGGTGGCTCACACCTGTAATCCCAGAACTTTCAGAGGCTGAGGTGGTCAGATCACTTCAGCCCAGGAGTTCAAGACCATCCTGGGCAACATGATGACACCCCATTTCTACAAAAAATACAAAAATTAGCTGGGCATGTTGGCATACACCTGTAGTCCCAGCTACTCTGGAAGCTGAAGCAGGAGGATCACTTGAGCCTGAGAGGTCAAGGCTGCAGTGAGCTGTGATTGTACTACTGCACCCTCTCAAAAAAAAAAAAAAAAAGTCCAGGGACCCAATAGTATTTAGCCTCAGAGCACAAGTATAATTTTCTCTGTGAATATTACTTGCCTCAACTGCATTTTTTAAATTGTGATTTTCTAGCTTTTTTCTGTGAATTTCAAGGATTTGATGATGGTAGCTTTTAGTTAAGAGTCATTTTCTGTTTTGTTTTTTTTTCCTCTCCAGAGTATCTTAAGAGGCCAGGCATGGTGGCTCACGCCTGTAATCCCAGCACTTTGGGAGGCCGAGGCGGGTGGATCACGAGGTCAGGAGTTCAAGACCAGCCTGGTCAAGATGGTGAAACCCCGCCTCTACCAAAAATACAAAAAAATTAGCCGGGCATGGTGGCGGGTGCCTGTAATCCCAGCTACTCGGGAGGCTGAGGCAGAGAATTGCTTCCCCAGGAGGCAGAGGTTGCAGTGAGCTGAGATCACACCACTGCACTCCAGCCTGGGCGACAGAGTGAGACTTCATCTCAAAAAAAAAAAAGTATCTTACAATCTAGAAAATTTTATAATTGAATAGAATCTTTACAAACATCTAGTTCAACCTCTGAGTGGAGGAATGACTACCCCAAGATCACACCAAGGTCACATAGTTTTGGGTAGCATGAGTGGAAATCCCATTCCAGCATTTCTGTTTCAGTCCAAGCTTTTGATACCCCTTAGTCTTTCATTATCGGGACAGTTGCAGTTTTCTCTATTAGTGGTATTATTTCCTAATGGATGAGTAGGATTTACATTACTCTGCCCATAGCTTCTTCAACTTATTTTTCTTGCTTTCTACCCCAATAGCTAAAGCTCCATGGAATAGAGATTCCTGAAAGGACAGATTATGAAATGGACAGGCAATTCCTCATAGAAATAATGGAAATCAATGAAAAACTCGCAGAAGCTGAAAGTGAAGCTGCCATGAAAGAGATTGAATCCATTGTCAAAGGTGAAAGATAAAATAGCACTGAATGTATTTCATTGCTGTTATGAACACTTGTCCAAGGATTAGTGAAAAATGAACGTAGAGTATATAATGGCCCGGGTGCAGTGGCTCACGCCTATAATCCCAGCACTTTGGGAGGCCAAGGCAAGTGGATCACCTGAGGTCAGGAGTTCAAGATCAGCCTGGCCAACATGGTAAAACCCTGTCTCTACTGAAAATACAAAAATTAGCCGGGCGTGGTGGCGGGTGCCTGTAGTCCCAGCTACTCGGGAGGCTGAGGCAGGAGAATGGCGTGAACCCGAGAGGCAGAGATTGCAGTAAGCGGAGATCAGGCCACTGCACTCCAGCCTGGGCGACAGAGCGAGACTCCATCTCAAAAAAAAAAAAAAAAAAAAAAGGTTATTTATTTTAAGGAATTAGCTCACATAATTGTGGGAGCTGACACATCTAAAATCTATAGGGTAGGGCTGGGCACAGTGGCTCATGCCTGTAATCCCAGTATTTTGAGAGGCCGAGGAAGGCAGATCACTTGAGTCCAGGAGTTCGAGACCAGCCTGGGCAACGTGGCGAAACCCCATCTCTAAAAAAATACAAAAAAATCAGCCAAGCGTAGGCCAGGTGTGGTGGCTCACGCCTGTAATCCCAGCACTTTGGGAGGCCAAGGCGGGTGGGTCACCTGAGGTTGGGAGTTCGAGACCAGCCAGGCCAACATGGAGAAACCCCGTCTCTGCCTAAAATACAAAATTAGCCAGGCATGGTGGTGCATGCCTGTAATCCCAACTACTCGGGAAGCTGAAGCAGGAGAATCGCTTGAGCTTGGGAGGCGGAGCTTGCAGTGAGCCCAGATCGTGCCACTGCATTATAGCCTGGACGACAGAGTGAGACTCCGTCTCAAAAAAAAAAAAAAAATCAGCCAAGCGTGGAGGTGCGCACTTGTGGTCCCAGCTATTCAGGAGGATGAGGTGGGAGAATCATCTGAGCCCAGGAGGCAGAGGTTGCAGTGAGCTGAGATCACACCACTGTACTCCAGCCTGAGTGACAGAGTGAGACCCTGTCACAAAAAAAATAAACAAAATCTATAGGGGTAGATAAGCAGGCTGAAAGTCCAGGCAGGATTTCTATGTTACAGTCTTGATACAGAATTCCTTCCCAGAAAACCTGTTTTTGCACTTAATGCCTCTACTTGATTGGATGAGGCCCACCCACATTATATAGAGTAACATCTGTTACTTAAAGTCAACTGATTATAAATGTTAATCACATCTACGAATACTTTCACAGGATCATCTAAACTAGTTGGTTTTTGTTTTTTTTGAGACATGGTCTCACTCTGTCACCCAGGCTGGAGCGCAGTGTTGCAATCACAGCTCACTGCAGCCTTGACCCATGGGCTCAAACAGTCCTCTCACCTTAGCCTCTTGGATAGCTGGGACTACAGGCATGCATCACCATGCCTGGCTAATTTTTTCTGTCTTTTATACAGATGGGGTTTCACCATGTTGCCCAGGCTGGCTTCAAACTCCTAGGTTCAAAGCAATCCACCTTCCTCAGTCTCCCAAAGTGCTGGGATTACAGGTGTGACTCAATGTGCCTGGCATAGATTAGTGTTTGATCAAGCAACTGGGCACCATAGCCTAGCCAAGTTGACGCATAAAATTAACCATTCCACATAGAAAAGATTCCAAGGTTCTCCGTTAGACTATATTCAGTTATGTACTTTCACAAATATTTGTAGTGTACCTACAAATATCAAGCACTGTGCATGACACTGAGGATACAGCACGGAACAAGAAAGACTGTGCCTTCTTGGAGTTTATATATGTCAACTGTACCCAAAATGGAATTCCCAAGTGTCTCCCCTCCCCACCTTTCCCCCCCAAAAAAATCTGTTCCTCTTAGGCTGGGTGCAGTGGCTCACGCCTGTAATCCCAGCACTTTGGGAGGCCGAGGCAGGCAGATCACGAGGTCAGGAGATCAAGACCATCCTGGGTAACATGATGAAACCCTGTCTCTACTAAAAATATAAAAAATTAGCCGGGCGTGTTAGCACACGCCTGTAGTGCCAGCTACTCGGGAGGCTGAGGCGGGAGAATCGCTTGAACCCGGGAGGCGGAGGTTGCAGTGAGCCGAGATTGTGCCACTGCACTCCAGCCTGAGTGACAGAGCGAGACTCCGAATAAAAAATAATAATAATCTGTTCCTCTTCCAGTGTTCCCTGAGAGAGTGACACCACTTGCACAAGCGTAAATTCTGAGGAGGCCTTAACAACCTTCTTCTTCCTTATGCCCATAGTCAATCTATTACATCTGAAAGAGCTGACTTAAATTTGCCTCAAATTCATCCACCCATCTCTACTTTCACTGCCACCAGCCTTTTCCAAGCTACCATTCACTCTCACCTGGACAACTGCAGTAGCTTTTCACTGGTCTGTCCGTACCTTCAGGCCCCATCTAACAAATCCCTTCACTGTCACTGGAATCTTTTTGAAACCCAAGCGTTTTTTTTTGTTGTTTTGTTTTGTTTTTGAGACAGAGTCTTGCTCTGTTGCCCAGGCTGGAGTGCACTGGCATGATCTCGGCTCACTGCAACCTCCGCCTCCCAGGTTCCAGCTATTCTCCTGCCTCTGCCTCCCAAGTAGCTGGGACTACAGGTGCGTGCCACCATGCTTGGCTAATTTTTCTATTTTTTTTAAGTAGTGACGGGGTTTTACCATGTTGCCCAGGCTGGTCTCAAACTCCTGACCTCAGGTGATCCATCCATCTCAGCCTCCCAAAGTGCTGGGATTACAGGTGTGAGCCACCAAGCCCGGCCAAAACCCAAATCTAATCACTACTCTTGGCCTTATTTCAATTGACCAGGTGTGATGGCTTACGCCTGTAATCCAAGCACTTTGGGAGGCTGAAGTGGAAGGATCACTTGAGCCCAGGAGTTCAAGACTAGCCTAGTCAACATAGCAAGACCCCCATCTCCATTAAAAATTTAAAAATTAACCAGATGTGGTGGCGCATGCCTGTAGTCCCTGCTACTCGAGAGGCTGAAGCAGAAGGATCACTTGAGCCCAGGAGGTGGAGACTGCAGTGAACCGTGTTTGCACCATTGCACTCCAGTTTCAGCAACAGAGCGAAAACACGTCTCAAAGAAAAAAAAAAAAAACTTTTAAGTGGCTTCTCACTGCTCTAAAACTCTTTAGCATCCCTTACAGGGCCCGGATGCCGTGGCCTCTGCTTCTCTCTGTTTTGCCTTCTCCACTCCAGCCACAATGACCACTTCCAGTTCCTCATCTATACTGGGCACCCTCCTACCCTAGGGCCTGTTGCTTCTGCCTGAAACCCTCCTCTCCTCCGCCCCATTTAAGTTAACCCCTCCTTCTTCAGATCTGAAGGCAATCATCACTTCCTCAGAGAAGCCTTTTTAAGCTATCTATTAGTAGTGGCTATTTCTTTTGTAGGACTAATCACAGTTATAACTTTACTGTTCTATGTGACATTAATTGATCAATATCAGCCTCCCTCATTAGACTGGAAGTTCTGCAGGAGAAATCATGTCTACTTTTTGCTTCCCTCACATCCTCAGCTCACAGAAAAGTACTTATAGTTTAAAAGGAACTTGGTATTTACTAAATGAGCAAACAGTAATGAGAAAAGATGTTTAAAGCAGTAATATAGAATTTGTGGTGAGGGGACCGTCAGCTTGGAGATATGTTCACAGCATTAGGACTGGGTTGTAGGGATAAGAGAAACTCAGGAGTTGCAGTCAGTGGGCTCAGCTGCCCAATTTTAGACGTCAGGGCAGCATGAAGATCTGGAGTGAGGGCAGCGTGCTACTGACTTTGCGTGACCTTGAACAAATGACTTCATTCCTCTGAGCCTCAATTTCCTCATCTGTACGTGGAGATAATATTAGTACTGGTGGTTGTGGGGATCAAGTTAAATGAGATAAAGCACGTAAAAGCATGTATTCTAGGCCAGGTTTGGTGTCTTATGCCTATAATCCCATTACTTTGGGAGGCTGAGATGGGCAGATTACCTGAGGTCAGGAGTTCAAGACCACCCTGACCAACATGGCAAAACCCTGTCTCTACTAAAAATACAAAATTAGCCGGGCATGGTGGCACACACCTATAATCCCAGCAACTTCAGAGGCTGAGGCAGGAGAATTGCTTGAACTCAGGAGGTGGAGGTTGCAGTGAGCCGAGATCGCACCATTGCACTACAGCCTGGGCAACAAGAGCGAAACTGTCTCAAAAAAAAAAAAAAAAAAAAAAAAAAAAACACTTATTCTAGCCCTATAGTAAACATTTGACTTTGAGCAGCTCACTGACCTTAATTTAGATTAATTCCTAAATTTTCTCCTGTAAGGTATCTGCTATGGCCCAGGTAAAATTAATGTTCAAGGGCATAGAGCTAGTTAATTTTAGGGTCAGGGCTTAAGAACCTCCAGGTTCCTAGTCTGTTGTTCTTTTGTGGACACCACACTGCTACCTGAGAGATGAGTTTCAAACACCGGACTGGGAGTCAAGTGACTTGGATTCTGTTCCCAGCTCTTCCACTCATCACCCATGGGACAATTCCCCCAATACCTGTCATTTCCTGCCTTACGGATATAATGTATTTGACAGTGCTTCGAAAGACGACACCATATAAATAACTGACACTATTTATATCTGGAAAATGAGATTACTGGAAAATTCCTCATTTTCTAACAAGGAAACGAGAAATATGAGATAGCTGCTGCTTTATTTTGTTTGGCATCTTCTCCCTTATGACACAACATGATGTAAATGTTTTCATTTTCCTGAGAGGCTATACAGTTTGCAAGTGGTTGCCGGAAACACTCAGTAATGCTTTACTGATAGGTGTTCCCAGCATGTTAATGTTCTCCTTGCTGAAATGTCGAAGACCCAAACTGTTTCGTGGAGATAATCAAAGTATATCTTTGTCTTTTTTTTTTTTTTTTTTTTTTTTACTGATTCTATAGCCATTTTATAAGCCTTGGTGATTGCTCCTTAGACCTTTCATGGTTGGAAAAACAGTGTTATTAGGGTAAACCAGAGTTGTGCTAAACAGCAGCTGCCATCATGGTACACACAGAGACAAAGGTTATGAAGCCTTACCCTTGAATACAAACTTCCTCCTTTGTTGTGTTCAAACCAGCATGATTACAAAGTTTAAGTATTGTCTTCATATTATGAGTCTATTTCAATGGAAAAATTAACAGAATGGTTTTCTTTTTCAGCTAAACAGAAAGAATTTACTGACAATGTGAGCAGTGCTTTTGAACAAGGTACTTTCTTTTCTTCACTTTCTTAAATATGGAAAGAAATTTCAAGCACTGAAGCATAGCCATTCATTCAATAACTAGCTATTATATACCTTCCTATGATAGCTATATAGGGAGATATGAAATACTTATGAGTCTACATTTCTGTCTTTAAAAAAATGCCTTTAAGAATCTACATTTCTGGCCAGGCACGGTGGCTAATGCCTGTAATCCCAACACTGGGAGGCTAAGGCGGGCGGATCACGAAGTCAGGAGATTGAGACCATCCTGGCTAACACGGTGAAACTCTGTCTCTACTAAAAATACAAAATTAACTGGGTGTGGTGGCACAACGCCTGTAGTCCCAGCTACTTGGGAGGCTGAGGCAGGAGAATCGCTTGAACCAGGGAGGCGGAAGTTGGAGTGAGCTGAGATCGTGCCACTGCACGCCAGCCTGAGTGACAGAGCGAGACTCCATCTCAAAAAAAAAAAAAAAATCAACATTTCTGCCTTTCTAGAGAAACAAACTATATCAAAAAAGTGATCTGGGAACAGTGACTCACGCCTGTTATCCCAACACTTTGGGAGGGTGAGGTGGGCAGATCACTTGAGGTTAGGGGTTTGAGACCAGCCTGGCCAACATGGTGAAACTCCAGCTCTACTAAAAATACAAAAATTAACTGAGTGTGGTGGCATGTGCCTACAGTCCCAGCTACTCAAGAGGCTGAGGCCAGGAGAATTGCTTGAACCAGGGAGGCTGAGGTTGCAGTGAGCCAAGATCACGCCACTGCACTCCAGCCTGGGCAACAAAGCGAGACTCCCTCTCAAAACAAACAAAAAAAAAACCTGAAGGAGGAATGAAGCTATTCTCAGGCAAATAAAAATTGAAGGAATTTGGGCTGGGCGCGGTGGCTCACACTTGTAATCCCAACACTTTGGGAGGCCGAGGCGGGTGGATCAAGAGATCAAGACCATCCTGGCCAACATGGTGAAACCCCATCTCTACTAAAAATACAAAATTAGCCAGGCGCAGTGGCGCGCCTGTAATCCCAGCTACTAGGGAGGCTGAGGCAGGAGAATCGTTTGAACCTGGGAGGCGGAGGCTGCAGTAAGCCAAGATCACGCCACTGCACTCCAGCCTGGTGACAGAGCAAGACTTTGTCTCAAAAAAAAAAAAAAAAAAAATTGGGCCGGGCATGGTTAATGATGCCTGTAACCCCAGCACTTTGAGAGGCTGAGGCTGGCGGATCACAAGGTCAGGAGATTGAGAATATCCTGGCTAACACAGTGAAACCCTGTCTCTACTAAAAATACAAAAAATTAGCCAGGCCTGGTGGTGACCGTCTGTAGTCCCAGCTACTCGGGAGGCTGAGGCAGGAGAATGGCGTGAACCCGGGAGGCGGAGCTTGCAGTGAGCAGAGATCGCGCCACTGCACTCCAGCCTGTGCAACAGAGCGAGACTCCATCTCAAAAAAAAAAAAAAATTTGTTGACAGGAGACCTGCCACGTAAAAAAAATGTTAAAAGAATTGATTGGCTAGGCGTGGTGGCTCACGCCTGTAATCCCCACATTTTGAGAGGCCAAGGTGGGCGGATCACAAGGTCAGGAGTTCGAGACCAGCCTGACAAACATGGTGGAACCCCGTCTCTACTAAAAATACAAAAAGTAGCCAGGCATGGTGGCGCTCGCCTGTAATCCCAGCTACTCCGAAGGCTGAGGCAGGAGAATGGCTTGATCCCGGAAGTCGGAGGTTGCAGTGAGCCGAGATCACGCCAATGCACTCCAACCTGGGTGACAGAATGAGATGCCATCTCAAAAAAAAAAATTATTTAGAGTGGAGGAAATTTATATAGGTCGGAAACTTGGGTCTACATAACGAAAGGAAGACCATTGGAGAAAGGAATAAGTAAATGCAAAATTAAAACTTATTTTTTAAATTGATCTAACAAAGTGTTTTCAAAATAATAAAAGCAACATTAGACCGGGCGTGGTGGCTCACATCTGTAATCCCAGCACTTTGGGAGGCTGAGGCGGGCGGATCATTTGAGGTCCGGAGTTCGAGACCTGCCTGGCCAACATGGTAAAACCCCATCTCTACTAAAAATACAAAAAAATTAGGGTGGCATGGTGGCGGGCGCCTGTAATCCCAGCTACTCAGGAGGCTGAGGCAGGAAGATCGCTTGAACCCGGGAGACAGATGTTGCAGTGAGCTGAGATCGCACCATTGCACTCCAGCCTGGGCGACAAGAGAAAAACTCCAACTCAAAAAAAAAGGATAGAAATTCTGACACCAGCCGGGCACGGTGGCTCACGCCTGTAATCCCAGCACTTTGGGAGGCTGAGGCGGGTGGGTCATGAGGTGAGGAGATCGAGACCATCCTAGCTAACACGGTGAAACCCCGTCTCTACTAAATATACAAA
Source organism: Homo sapiens (assembly GCF_000001405.40). NCBI lineage: Eukaryota > Metazoa > Chordata > Mammalia > Primates > Hominidae > Homo > Homo sapiens. Next base: position 28,753,686 of record NC_000022.11, read on the forward strand.
AAATCAGCCAGGCGTGGTGGCGGGCACCTGTAGTCCCAGCTACTCAGGAGGCTGAGGCAGGAGAATGGCGTGAACCTGGGAGGTGGAGCTTGCAGTGAGTGGAGACCACCTCACTGCACTTCGGCCTGGGTGACACAGGGAGACTCCATCTCAAAAAAAAAAGAAATTCTGACACAGGACCGGGCGCGGTGGCTCACGCCTGTAATCCTAGCAGTTTGGGAGGCCAAGGTCGGCAGATCACAAGGTCAAGAGTTCTAGACCAGCCTGGCCAACATGGTGAAACCCCGTCTCTGAAAAATTAGCTGGGTGTGGTGGCAGATGCCTGTAATCCCAGCTACTCAGGAGGCTGAGGCAGGAGTATCGCTTGAAATTGGAAGGTGGAGTTTGCAGTGAGCCGAGATCGTGTCACTGCACTCCTGACGGCAACAAGAGCGAAACTCCATCTCAAAAACAAACAAACAAAAAAAAATCTGACACAGGCTCCAACATGGATGAACCTTGAGGACATTGTACTATGTGAAATGTCAGTCACAAAAGGACAAATACTATATAATTCCACTTATATGAGGTACCTGTGGTAGTCAGATTCATAGAGAAAGTGGAATGGTGGTTGTGGGGGGATAGAGTCAGGAAGAGGAAAATAGAGAGTTATTTCATAAGTAGAGAGCTTCAGTTTTGCAAGATGAAAAGAGTTCTGTGGAAGGTCAGGCACGGTGGCTCCCACCTGTAATCCCAGCACTTTGAGAGACTGAGGCAGACAGATCATCTCAGGGCAGGAATTTGAGACCAGCCTGACCAACATGGTGAAACCCCGTCTTTACTGCAAATACAAAAATTAGCCAGGTGTGATGATGCATGCCTGTAATCCCAGCTACTTGGGAGTCTGAGGCACAAGAATCACTTGAACCCGGGAGGTGGAGGCTGCAGTGAGCCAAGATCATGCCACTGCATTCCAGCCTGGGCAACAAAGCAAGACTCTATCTCAAAAAAAAAAAGTTATGTGGATGGATGGTGGTGATGCTTGCCCAACAATGTGAATGTACTTAATGTCATTGAACTGTACACTTAGAAATGGCTAACATGATGAATTTTATGTCATGTGTTACCAACTTAATTTTTTTTTTTTTTGAGACTGAGTTTTGCTCTTTCGCCCAGGCTAGAGTACTGTGGCATGATCTCAGCTCACTGCAACCTCAGCCTTTCGGTTTCAAGTGATTCTCCTGCCTCAGCCTCCCAAGTAGCTGTGATTACAGGAGCCTGCCACCACACCCGGCTAATTTTTGTATTTTTAGTAGAGATGGGATTTCACCATGTTGGCCAGGCTGGTCTTGAACTCCTGACCTCATGATCCGCCCACCTCGGCCTCCCAAAGTGCTGGGATTACAGGCGTGAGCCACCGCGCCTGGCCCTAAAATTTTTTGAATACAAAAAAGATGTTAAATAGGCCGGGCGCGGTGGCTCACGCCTGTAATCCCAGCACTTTGGGAGGCCGAGGCGGGCGGATCACGAGGTCAGGAGATGGAGACCATCCTGGCTAACACGGTGAAACCCCGTCTCTACTAAAAATACAAAAAATTAGCCGGGCAAGGTGGCGGGCACCTGTAGTCCCAGCTACTCAGGAGGCTGAGGCAGGAGAATGGCGTGAACCGGGGAGGCAGAGTTTGCAGTGAGCCAAGATTGCGCCACTGCACTCCGGCCTGGGTGACAGAGCAAGACTCCATCTCAAAAAAATAAAATGTTAAATAAATTAAATTGAGAAATGAAATACGACCAAGGCCTTCCAAGTCCCTGGTTGACATTTTGCCATTACATCTCCCTTCCACAGTAACCACTCCTGAATTTTGTGTTACTCATTCCCTTGCTTTTCTTGATAGTTTTAACCATATATGTACATAATAGTATATTATTTAGTCTCACATATTTTTCTTTATATAAATAATACATATCCTTCTGTGACTTTTTTGCTTAATATTTTATTTTTGGAGTCATCTGGAATGATGCAAATGGTTATAACATATCTTCATTTTAGCACTCTTCACATTGTGTTTTACTTATCTAAGTCAGGTTTTCTCAACCTTGGCACTACGGATATTGTAAGCCAGATAATTCTTCGTTTGGGGGAGCTGTCCTGAGTACTATAAGATGATTAGCAGCATCCCTGGCCTGTACCCACCAGATGTCAGTACTACCTCCCAGCTGTGACAACCAAAAATATCTCCAGACATTGCCAGATGTCCCCATGGGGGCAAAATCATCCCCAGTTGAAAATCACTGGTCTGGCCAGGCATGGTGGCTCACACCTATAATCCCAGCACTTTGGGAGTCCAAGGCAGGCGGATCACTTGAGATCAGGAGTTTGAGAGCAGCCATGGCCAACATGGTGAAACCCTGCCTCTACTAAAAATGCAAAAATTGGCCAGGCATGGTGGCGCACACCCTGTAGTACCAGCTACTCTGGAGACTGAGGCATGAGTATTGGTTGAACCCGGGAGGTGGAGGTTGCAGTGAGCTGAGATCACGCCACTGTACTCCAGCCTGGGCAACAGAGTGAGGCTCCATCTCACAAAAAAAAAAAAAAAGGAAAATCACCGGTCTAAAGGTGTCTTTCTTGGGAACTATAAGCCCCCGGAGGGTACCTCTGTGCCTCAGCACCTGAACTGTAAGCCCCCTGAAGGCAGCTCTATGCCTCAGCACCTGGCATAGAGGAAGCATTCAGTGCTTTCATATCCTCAGTATACCACCACATGTTAGGGAGAAATTTTTAAAACACAACCACCCACCCTTTTTTTTTTTTTTTTAAAGAGACAGGGTCTCACCCTGTCGCCCAGGTTGAAGTACAGTGGCACAGTCATAGCTCAGTGCAACCTCAAACTCCTGGGCTCAAGGGATCCTCCCACCTCAGCCTCCCGAGTGGCCAGGACTACAGGCATGTGCCACCATGCCTGGCTAATTTTTTATTTTATTTTTTATTTTTTATTTTTTATTTTTGGTAAAGACAGGGTCTTGCTTTGTTGCCCAGGCTGGTCTTCAATTCCTGGGCTCAAGCCATCCTCCCGCCTCAGCCTCCCAAAATGCTGGGATAGCAGGTATGAGCTCCTGCATCTAGCTTCCACCACCCATTTATTACTTGGGACTGTCCTGAAGAGAATCAACTTCTCTAATTTATGTGAATCCTGTACACATGCTCTTACACAACTCTCGCCCCATTTGGTTTATCCCTGTGTCTCCTTAACAATCCAGATGTTCTCCCTCTTCGTTGCTCAGTCTTACTGAGGAATTGATGAGCCCTCCGGACCCCAGGGCTCCACTTATATATCGCTGCCCTAGTCATCAGAGTTGGTTTTATTCTTGCTTGAAATGAAGCCTGACTTCAGTGTCTCTGTCTATTTCAGATGACTTTGAAGAAGCCAAGGAAATTTTGACAAAGATGAGATACTTTTCAAATATAGAAGAAAAGATCAAGTTAAAGAAGATTCCCCTTTAATTGTGGATAGTTTAAAGTTTAAAAAATAAAGTTCTTGCTGGGCACAGTGGCTCACACCTGTAATCCCAGCACTTTGGGAGGCTGAGGTGGGTGGATGACAAGGTCAGGAGTTCAAGACCAGCTTGGCCAACATAGTGAAACCCCGTCTCTGCTGAAAATACAAAAATTAGCCGGGCATGGTGGCGCGTGCCTGTAATCCCAGCTACTTGGTAGGCCGAGGCAGGAGAATCGCTTAAACCCGTGAGGTGGAGGTTGCAGTGAGCAGAGATCACGCAACTGCACTCCAGCTTGGGCAACAGAGTGAGACTTAATCTTGAAAAATAAATAAATGAAAAATAAAATTCTTGTATATTTCTTTTCTGGCTTCTGGTAATTGGGAATAGATAAGCCTTTACCGTTTATATCATCTTAATTAAGCCTATGGCTCAAGCATTAGTGGATGGCAAAGTTTGTCATGTGGGAAGAAACACAGCCTAGTCAGAGCTTGGGTGGTCAGTTCTTCATCTGATACTTGATACAACATGACCCCAGTGTAGGCTAATGGTTGAAGAGGTGGAGATGGGGCCAATTTGAGGCCCTACAAAGAGGAATCCAAAAACTTCTCTGCAAAGGGCCTGGTAGTGAATATTTTCAACTTTGTGGACTATATCAAGGGTCCCCAACCTGTTAGGAACTGGACCCCACAGCAGGAGGTGAGTGGCAAGTGAGCGAGCAAGCAAGCATTACCGCCTGAGCTCCGTTTCCTGTCAGATCCGCTATGGCCTTAGATTCTCAAAGGAACATGAACCCTATTGTGAACTGCACATGTGAGGGTTCTAAGTTGCATGCTCCTTGTGAGAATCTAATGCCTGATGATCTGAAGTGGAATAGTTTCATCCCAAAACCATCCTCCAGCACCGTCCCCATCCATGGAAAAACAGTCTTCCATGAAACCACTTCCTGGTGCCAAAAAGGCTGGGGACTGCTGGACTATGTGGTCTCTGTTGTAACTGCTGTTCTGCCATTGTGACACAAAATCAGCATAGACAATATGAAAACAAATGGACAGGGCTGTGTGCCAGTCAAACTTTACAAAACAGATGATGAGCCAGATTTGGCCATGGCTCTGCCAACCTCTGCCCAAGAGCCACAACTTTCTAATGGCATGATCCTCCTCCCTAAGATAGGTAGTCCCCTTTGGTACTGTGGCCTTGGGGTATTCAGTTTGCTAACAAGCAAGGCTGCCTAAGGGTCTCTTTGGTCTAAATTTCAAATTGTAGATAATATTATAAAGAATTAATCTGGTATTAGGCCGGGCATGGTGGCTCATGCCTGTAATCCCTGTACTTTGGGAGGCTGAGGCGGATAGATTACCTGAGGTCAGGAGTTCGAGACCAGCCTGGCTAACATGATGAAACCCTGTCCCTACTGAAAATACAAAAAATTAGCTGGGCATGGTGGTGCGCACCTGTAATCCCAGCTACTCAGGAGGCTGAGGCAGGAGAATCGCTTGAACCCGGGAGGCGGAGGTTGCAGGGAGCCGAGATTGCGCCACTGCACTCCAGCCTGGGCAACAAGAGCAAAAAACTCCATCTTAAAAAAAAAAAAAAAAAAGAATTAATCTGGTATTAAGCACTAACCACATTTTCTGCTCCATCTTAGTGGAGTGGAGCAGTTGTGTTACTCTCTGGACAGTTGATGCACTTGTCACTATTTCCATGCTCTTCTAATTCAGCCCAGTGCATCTCTACTTCCCCTTCTGTATCTTTGGAAATTCAGTTTAAGTTCTTGATCCCTTTCCAGAAAAACAAACAAACAAAAAAACACTTAAAAAGTCTCTGGATCAGGGAAAATTTGAATAGCAAACAGAAAATTCTGATTAAAAATTCCAACAAGGCCGGGCGCGGTGGCTCATGCCTGTAATCCCAGCACTTTGGAAGACCGAGGCAGGCGGATCACCTGAGGTCGGGAGTTCAAGACCAGCCTGACCAGCATGGAAAAACCCCGTCTCTATTAAAAATAAAAATAAAAAAAATTAGCCAGGTGTGGTGGTGCATGCCTGTAATCCCAGCTACTTGGGAGGCTGAGGCAGGAGAATTGATTGAACCCAGGAGGTGGAGGTTGCAGTCAGCTGAGATCGTACCACTGCACTCCAGCCTAGGCGACAGAGCAAGACTGTCTCAAAAATAAAAATAAAAATAAAAATAAAAAAATTCCAAGAAACAACATTTTAACTCTGGAGATAATTGCCTGTTTATAATTGGAAAAAAGACAGGGAGTCTGAACCAAAGTTTAAATACTACTCCAAGAACTTGAAACTGTAGCTCCTTTGCAGTTTCTTTTTTTTTTTTTTTTTTTTTTTGAGACAGAATCTTGCTATTTTCACCCAGGCTGGAGTGTAATAACACGATCTCAGCTCACTGCAACCTCCACCTCCGGGGTTCAAGTGATTCTCCTGCCTCAGCCTCCCAAGTAGCTGGGATTACAGGCACCTGCCACCATGCCTGGACATTTTTTAGTATTTTTAGTAGAGTCGGGGTTTCACCATGTTGGCCAGACTGGTCTCGAACTCCTGACCTCAGGTGTTCCACCCGCCTCAGCCTCCCAAACTGCTGGGATTACAGGCATGAGCCACTATCCCAGTTTCTTATCCTTGTTGAAAAATGTGTATCTTGTGAATACCGAACCAGTTATACTCAGTTAACATTTTATAATTCACTGATCTTTAGAAGGCAAAGTAACCACAGCAGCTGTCGGGCTTAATGATACTTGGGAACATCAGTACAATTCCACCCCCTCACAATATACTAGGAGAATGAATTACTTGTCTGAAAACACACCAGGAGTCCTTTAAGTAAATAATTACAGTGCAAGCATATGTCCTCATTTAATTGGGTGCTTCTGCAAAACAAAGGAGGAAATGAAAGGAGGGTTTGAAATACTTGTGTAGACAATCTTCATTCCTTCTTCAGAACAATCATCAGGACCAAAACAATCTGACCACAAAAACAAATCAGATCAACATTGCCACATCTTTGGAGGAACTTCAAAGAAACTTTCCCTTACCTGTTACCATCAGCTGGAAAGGCTGCAGGGCCTCCCAACAAACCATGTCTGACTTGGGGAATAAATTAAAAAGACATTATTTCTGAGTCATGGCTTCTGAGGTGAGTGGGTTTACTTTTTTCTCCCCTCTCTTCCAAATTCTTTCCCTTCTCATCTGAAGTTTAACTGCAATTCTAAATCCAGGAACCCTTTCAAGTGTTCCCTAACAAAGCCCTGTGGGAGGTATGCTAATAGACGGCTGAAAAATTGGCAGCCAAATTTGGTTTAAAGTTTCAGACCAACAATTGAAGCAAGTGAAGCACCCCCTGTCCGCCACCCCCAACACACACACACAGGCACACACACACAGTTCCCAATATAGTGTCAGAACAAATCAGAGGTTTCAACTAATTTGTGACTATGTCGTCCTGAGTTTGGTGTCAGACAGTGCTCGTGTTGTGAACTGAATGATTTTGTCCCCCAAAATTCATACGTTGCAGTTCTGGCGCCTCTAAGGAAGTAATTAAGATTCTACAAGACAGGAAGAGAAACTGAAATTGACCATGCTGGCACCTTGAGCTTGGACTGCAGCCTCCAAAACTGTGAGAAAATAAATTGCTGTTATTTAAGCTACCTAATACCTGGGTTTAAGTCCCAGCTCCCCTACTTATTTTCCATCTGTATTTTTTTTTTCAAGATGGAGTCTCGCTCTGTCGCCCAGGCTGGAGTGCAGTAGCGCCATCTTGGTTCACTGCAACCTCCACCTCCCGGGTTCAAGCTATTCTCCTGCCTAAGCCTACTAAGTAGCTGGGATTACAGGCGCCCGCCACTACAACCGACTGATTTTTTTTTTTTTTTTTTTTGTATTTTTAGTAGAGACGGGGTTTCACCATGTTGGCTGGGCTGGTCTCGATCTCCTGACCTCGTGATCCGCCCACCTCAGCCTTCCAAAATGCTGGAATTACAGGCATGAGCCACCGCGCCTGGCTGCTGTTGAGAGACAGGACTAGCTGGATTTCCTAGGCTGACAAAGAATCCCTAAACCTAGCTGGGAAGGTGACCACATCCACCTTTAAACACGGGGCTTGCAACTTAGCTCACACCCGACCAATCAGAGAGCTCACTAAAATGCTAATTAGGCAAAAACAGGGGTAAAGAAATAGCCAATCATCTATTGCCTGAGAGCACAGCAGGAGGGACAAGGATCCGGATATAAACCCAGGCATTCGAGCCGGCAACGGCAACCCCCTTTGGGTCCCCTCCCCTTATATGGGAACTCTGTTTTCACTTTATTTCACTCTATTGGATCTTGCAACTGCACTCTTCTGGTCCATGTTTGTTGCAACTCGAGCTGAGCTTTCCATCCACCACTGCTGTTTTGCCTCCGTCGCTGACTTCCATCCCTCTGGATCCAGCAGGGTGTCCTCTGTGCTCCTGATACAGCAGGGCGCCCATTGCCGCTCCCGATCGGGCTAAAGGCTTTTCATTGTTCCTGCACAGCTAAGTGCCTGGGTTCGTCCTAATCGAGCTGAACACTAGTCACTGGGTTCCACGGTTCTCTTCCATGACCCACAACTTCTAATAGAGCTATAACACTCACCGCATGGCCCAAGATTCCATTCCTTGGAATCCCTGAGGCCAAGAACCCCAGGTCAGAAAACACGAGGCTTGCCACCATCTTGGAAGTGGCCGGCCACCATCTTGGAAGTGGCCCACCACCATCTTGGGAGCTCTGGGAGCAAGGACCCCCGGTAACACCGTCATCTGTATTTTCTTTGTTTGTTTTTGAGAAAGGGTGTGGCTCTGTCATCCATGCTGGAATGCAGTGGTGCCATCTCAGCTCACTGCAGCCTTAACCTCCCAGGCTCAACCAATCCTCCCACCTCAACCTCCCAAGTAGTTGGAACCACAGGTGGGCACCACCATGCCTGGCTAATTTTTTAATTTTTTGTAGAAATGGGGTCTCTCTACATTGCCCAGGCTGGTCTCGAACTCCTGGGCTAAAGCTATCTACCCACCTTGGCCTCCCAAAGTGCTGGGAATACAGGGGTGAGCCACCATGCCCAGCGTCCTCATCTTATTTACTTATTTAAGACAACGTCTGGCTCTGTTGCCCAATCTGGAGCACAGTGGCATGATCTCGGCTCACTGCAACCTCCACTTCCCAGGCTCAAGCCATCCTTCTTCCTCAGCCTTCCAAGTATCTGGGACTACAGGCATGCACCACCACGCTTGGCTAATTTTTGTACGTTTTGTAGAGACAGGGTTTTGCCATGTTGCCCAGGCTGGTCTCAAACTCATGAGCTCTAGTGATCTGCCCGCCTTGGTGGCCTCTCAAAGTGTTGGGATTACAGGCATGAGCCACTGTGCCTGGACATGGCCTCCTTATCTTTAAAAGGGTAATAATAGTACCTATCTCACAGTGTCATTGTGAAGATCAAGTGAAATAAATTATCTATGCAAATTGCTTAGCATGGTGCATGGCACATGGAACTCAGAGATAATACTTTCTTTTACTTTCAATTATAATTACTACTTTTATTATTTTTATTGGGAAACAAAATCATGCCTTTCATTGCACCATAAATACATTCTTTCAACAAAATTCCAAGCACCTACTTTATGTAAGAGACCACTTAGCCCTGAGAGAGAACAGTCAGATGCTTCCTGTACATTGGGGAAATCACTTTTCACCAAAAACAAAACAATAATAAAACTTCTGGGCTGGGCCAGGTGTGGTGGCTTACGCCTGTAATCCCAGAACTTTGGGAGGCAGAAGCGGGTGGATCACTTGAGGTCAGGAGTTTGAGACCAGCTTGGCCAACATGGTGAAACTTCGTCTCTGCTAAAAATACAAAAATTAGCCAGGCGTGGTGGCGTGCGCCTGTAATCCCAGCTACTTGGGAGGCTGAGGCAGGAGAATCACTTGAACCTGGGAGGTGGAGGTTGCAGTGAGCTGAGATCACACCACTGAACTCCAACCTGGCAACAGAGTGAGACTCCATTTTAAAAAAAAAGGTTCTGGACTGAGTATGGTGGCTCACACCTGTAATCCCAGCACTTTGGGAGGCCAAGTGGGAGGATCACTTTAGCCCAGGAGTTCAAGACCAGCCTGGGCAACATAGTGAGACCCCATCTCTACAAAAAGTGTTAAAAATTAGCCGGGTCTGTTGGCAGCCTATGGTCCCAGCTACTGAAGTGGGAAGATTGCTTGAGCCCAGGAGTTTGAGGCTGCAGTGTGCTATGAACATGCCACTGTACTCCAGCCTGGGCAACAGAGCAAGACCCTGCCTGGAAAAAAAAAAGTTCCCATTTGCTTCACAGTTACCGTATGCCAGGGAACATCTGTAGTATTTTGCCTGATTCCATCAAAATAAGCCCAATTTGACTCACTTTACAGATGAAGAAACACACTTCAAGAAGGTAAGAGTTAGCCAAGCGAGGTGGCTCATGCCTGTAATACCAGCACTTTGGGAGGCCGTGGTAGGTGGATCACTTCAGGCCAGGAGTTAGAGACAAGCCTGGGCAACATAGCAAGACCCCATCTCAAGTTCTTTTTTTTTTTTTTTTTAGATAGTCTCGCTCTGTTGCCCAGGCTGTAGTGCAATGGTGTGGTCTAAGCGTATTGAAGCATCCCAGGTTCAAGTGATTCTCCTGCCTCAGTCTCCCAAGTAGCTGGGATTATAGGTACCCACCACCACGCCTAGCTAATTTTTGTATTTTTAGTAGAGATGGGGTTTCTCCATGTTGCACAGGCTGGTCTCGAACTCCCGGTCTCAAGCCATCCGCCTGCCTCAGCCTCCCAAAGTGCTGGGATTACGGGTGTTAGCCACTGTGCCCGGCCACGTCTCAATATTTTTTTTAATGTAAAAAAGAAAATTAGAAAAACAAAAGTAAGAGTATTTAAACCCATCTATCTGCAAAGCCTGTGCTCTTACAGGGCTGAACTCACCAAGATTAAGTACCAGCCAATGGGGTTAAGCAATTCATAACGAGAAGTGCCATTTACCAGGGCCTGTGCCATGCCATGGAGAGGTAAGATTTGTTAGGAGTCCCTATGTCCAAAGCCCGTGCATACAGCCTCACTGGGTCTAGGGAGGGATCATTTCCAGGTGTGGTAACTAAAGAAGAAAGGAAGAGGAGGAACAGAATCCAGACAAGCAGAGAGAAACTATGTCAGGTGTCCCCCAAACCACCCCGAGTTATGAGGATTTGCCAGGAGATCTCACAGGACTCAGTATATGGTTCTACTCATGGCTATAACTTTTTTTTTTTTTTTTTGAGACGCAGTCTCGCTCTGTCGCCCAGGCTGGAGTGCAGTGGCACGATCTCAGCTCACTGCAAGCTCTGCCTCCTGGGTTCACGCCATTCTCCTGCCTCAGCCTCCTGAGTAGCTGGGGCTACAGGCGCCCGCCACCACGCCCGCTAATTTTTTGTATTTTTAGTAGAGACGGGGTTTCACCGTGTTAGCCAGGATGGTCTCAATCTCCTGACCTCGTGATCCGCCCACCTCGGCCTCCCAAAGTGCTGGGATTACAGGCATGAGCCACCATGCCCAGCCTCATGGCTATAACTTATTATAGCAAAAGGGTACAAAATGAAATCAACACAAGGAAAAGTCTCCTGGCACAGTCTGATACAAATCAGATGCAAGCTTCCAAGGGTCTTCTTCCAGTGGAGTCACGTCAGACGCCCATAATTCCCCTAGCAACAAGTTGTGACAACACGTGAAAATGTTGTCTGTAAGGAAGCATAGATAGACTCAATACCAAGGGGTTGGCCGGGCACGGTGGCTCACACCTGTAATCCCAGCCCTTTTGGAGGCCGAGGAGGGCAGATCACTTGAGGTGATAACTTCTGACAACCCCACCCCTCATGGATCATTGCCATGAACAGTTTGGTATCATGTGTTTCTTTCAGAGGGGATAAAGCTTAGTACTCTGCTATTATTTACCTGACTTGCTTGCTAAGATTGTTTCTTTTTTTCAGATGGAGTCTTGCTCTGTCACCCAGGCTGCAGTAGAGTGGCACGAACTCAGCTCACAGCAACTTCTGTCTCCTGGGTTCAAGTGGTTCTCCTGCCTCAGTCTCCTAAGAAGCTGGGACTACAGGCGTGCGCCACCACGCCCAACTAATTTTTGTATTTTTTTGGTACAGACAGGGCTTCACTATGTTGGCCAGGCTGGTCTTATACTCCTGACCTAAAGTGATCTGCCCACCTCAGCCTCCCAAAGTGCTGGGATTACAGGCATGAGCCACCGTGCCTGGCCGCTAAGGTTGTTTCTTAAGTTCTACCAGTTAATAACTATTATGTAGGCAAATTACTCACTCGCCTCCCCACCGGCCCTGGCTTTTTTTTTTTTTTTTTTTTTTGAGACAAGCTCTTGCTCTGTCACTCAAGCTGGAGTGCAGTAGTGCAGTCACAGCTCACTGCAGCCCCAACCTCCCTGGATAGTCATAATGGAGTTTCCTGCTGGATGGTATTAAGTGATTTTTATTTGCTTTTCTACACTTTTATCAGCCCCACCACTAACTTTCTAAGAAGCTGTGTTCATTTTATAACCAGAAAACATTGTTTTAAAAAAAGGTAGGGGGGAACAGTGGAGATTAACCACCAAGGAAAAAGGAGTCATGAAAGGATTGTCTGAGTGTCTGTATGTCTCTGACCCACCAACCCTATGAGATGTGCGCTGGAAGTAACATCAAAGAGGCACGGTTGGACAATCACTAAGAAAAAGATGGGTCCAGGCGCAGTGGCTCATACCTGTAATCCCACCACTTTGGAAGGCCAAGGCAGGTGGATCACTTGAGGTCAGGAGTTCAAGACCAGCCTGGCCAATATGGCAAAACCCTGTCTCTATTAAACATACAAAAATTTGACCGGGTACGGTGGCTTACGCCTGTAATCCCAGCACTTAAAGAGGCTGAGGCAGATGGATCACTTGAGGTCAGAAGTTTGAGACCAGCCTGGGCAATATGGTGAAACCCCATCTCTACTAAAAAGACAAAAAATTAGCCAGCTGTGGTGGCACATGTCTGTAATCCCAGCTACTCAGGAGGCTGAGGCAGAAGAATCACTTGAACCTGGGAAGCGGAGGTTGCAGTGAGCTGAGATTGTGCCATTGCACTCCAGCCTGGGCTACAAGAGCAAAACTCTGTCTCAAACAAAAACAAAAACAAAAATTAGCCAGGCATGGTGGTGTGCACCTGCAGTCCCAGCTACTCGGTAGGCTGAGGCAGGAGAATTGCTTCAGCCTGGGAGGCGGAGGTTGCAGTGAGCACCACTGCAGTCCAGCGTGGGTGACACAGTGAGACTTTGTCTCAGAAAATGAAAAAAGAAAAAAAAAATAAGAGGAGGGGCTCTTAGAGGCCACTGTCAAATTCTGTAGCTGCTCTCCCCAGGGTAATGGAGGGGACAACTAACTACAATCCTCTGACTTATGCTTCTGGGGTCTTAAGCTCCAAGGTCTCAGACACACTGTAGTGAGTCTTTCAAATTGATTCCCCATAGCCCTTTCTTCCACAGAATTCAATGAGATGAGCAGACCCTACAAGTTTAGGGCAGGATCTAGGGTCTCAGATCTGGGGTTTGGCACTGGCTAGTTCACATATAGCTGAGGGAATTGGGGACCATAACTTGCCTCAATTTTCTTATCTGTAAAATGGGGGTAGGAAAATCATCCAATTCACAGAGTTGTGAGGAATACTTAATCTGAGTAAAGAGCACTTGAAAATAGAAAGCACCTAATAAATTATTAATTATAGTACATTGACTGATAAGGGGTATAACTTAGTATAGAATTATGAATTATGGCCGGGTGCAGTGGCGGACGCCTGTAATCCCAGCACTTTAGGAGGCCAAGGCGGTCAGATCACCTGAAGTCAGGAGTTCGAGACCAGCCTGGCCAACATGGTGAAACCCCGTCTCTACTAAAAATATAAAAATTAGAAAGGCGTGGTGGCAGGCACCTGTAGTCCCAGCTACTCAGGAGGCTGAGGCAGGAGAATCGCTTGAACCCCAGAGGCGGAGGTTGCAGTGAGCAGAGATCGAGCGACTGCACTCCAGCCTAGGTGACAGAGTGAGACTCCATCTCAAAAAAAAAAAAAATTTTGAATTAAAGAATGAAAAGAATGGTTGTGTGTGCCTCCCCTCCCAGGAGCTCAGGGCAGGGCCTGCCAAAGGTGTCTCTACACCACACCCCATGCTTCCTCTCTTCTCTCTCTCTCTGGCTCTCTGGCTTTCACTCTCATTCTCTCTCCCTCCTCTCTCCTTCCTTCCCTCTCTCCTTCTCTTTCTGCCATGTGATTAAAAAAAGAATGAAAGAATGAATTTAGATAGATATTCAAGAAATATAATTAGGTAGAAAAGCAAATTTTAGAATAATATGGAGTATGACTCTCTTATTTTTATTTATTTTTTATTTTTATTATTTTTTGAGACGGAATCTCGCTCTTCTTGCTCAGGCTGGAGTGCAGTGACACGATCTCGGCTCACTGCAACCTCTGCCTCCCGGGTTCCAGCGAGTGTCCTGCTCAGCCTCCCGAGGAGCTGGGATTATAGTTGCCCACCACCACACCTGGCTGATTTTTGTATTTTTAGTAGACACAGGGTTTCACCATGTTGGCCAGGCTGGTCGCAAACTCCTGACCTCAGGTGATCCATCCACCTTGACTTCCCAAAGTGCTAGGATTACAGGCATGAGCCACCACGCCCGGCCATGACTCTCTTTTTATAAATATATATTTATGGCCGGGCGCGGTGGCTCACGCCTGTAACCCCAGCACTTTGGGAGGCCGAGGTGGGCGGATCATAAGGTCAGGAGATCAAGACCATCCTGGCTAACATGGTGAAACCCCATCTCTACTAAAAAAAAATACAAAAAATTAGCTAGGTGTGGTGGCGGGCGCCTGTAGTCCCAGCTACTCGGGAGGCTGAGGCAGGAGAATGGCGTGAACCCGGGAGGCAGAGCCTGCAGTGAGCCGATATCACGCCACTGCAATCCAGCCTGGGTGACAGAGCGAGACTCCGTCTCAAAAAAAAAAAAAAAAAAAAAAAAAAAAAAAAAATATATATATATATATATATATATATATATATGTATTTATATTTATACATAGGATCATCTGGAAGTATCGTTTTTGTTTTTTTGAGACAGAGCTTTGCCCTCTCACCCAGGCTGAAGTACAGTGGCATGATCATGGTGTCCTGCAACCTTGAACTACTGGGCTCAAGCAATCCCCCTGTCTCAGCCTCAGTAGTAGCTAGGACAACAGGCATGCACCATCATGCCTGGCTAATTTTTTAGGTTTTATTTTTTTTGGAGACTGGGTCTTGCTATATTGCCCAGACTTGTCTTGAACTTCTGGCTTCAAGCCACATCAGCCTCCCAAAGTGCTGGGATTTCAGATGTGAGCCACCACACCCAGCCTGGAAAAATATTTTTTTTTTTTTTTTTCCCCTAAACCCCAGAGTCAACAAGACTATTTGGTAGCCAAGGCTGGAAAAAAGGATATTTTTTAAGGTAAGGAATGAGGTGGCCATTTGTAGAAATTGCCCAGGAGAGTATCTTTTATATCCAGTTAAGCAGGATTTTACTTTAAGAATGCAAAATTGAATTGTAAATGGCATTAAGAAAACTGAAACCCAATCCATTATCTTGGCAAAGGGGGTTCGTTAGTTTTCTCTTGCATCATCACAATGGCAATAGAGTTAGAGAGGAATGGGGAGAATCTGGAAGCATTTTGCAAGTAAAGTCCATAGAACTTGCTAACTGACTAGATATGGGTGTGAACAAAAGAGAGGCATTCATGGTGATGCCTTGGTTTTTGGTCAGAAAGAGAAAAGTATCTTCTGACAGAGGAAACTTCCTTGATACTGGGAGGTGAAGCCAGCTGAGCTTCTGAGTCCAGTGAGGACTTGGAGAACTTTTGTGTCTAGTCAAAGGATTGTAAATGCACCAATCGGTGCTCTGTGTCTAGCTAAAGGATTGTAAATGCACCAATCAGCACTCTGTAAAAACGCACCAATTAGCACTCTGTAAAATGGACCAATCAGCGCTCAGTAAAATGGACCAATCAGCACTCTGTAAAATGGACCAATCAGCAGGATGTGGGCAAGACCAAATAAGGGAATAAAAGCTGGCCACTTGAGACAGCAGCGCCAACCTGTTCGTGTTCCTTTTCACACTGTAGGTTTGTTCTTTCACTGTTCACAGTAAATCTTGCTGCTGCCCACTCTGGGTTTGCACTGCCTTTATGAGCCATAACACCCACCGCGAGGATCTGCTGCTTCATTCCTGAAGTCAGCAAGATCACAAACGCACCTGGCAGAACAAACAACTCCTGACAGGCCACCTTTAAGAGCTGTAACACTCACTGTGAAGGTCTGCAGGTTCTCTCCTGAAGTCAGCAAGACCACGCACCCACCGGAAGGAAGAAACTCCGGACACATTTGAACATCTGAAGTAACAAACTGCAGACGCACCATCTTTAAGAGCTGTAACACTCACCGCGAAGGTCCATGGCTTCGTTCTTGAAGTTGGGAAGACCAAGAACCAACCGGAAAGAATAAATTCCAGACACAATACTGTTAGACTTCATTGTCCTCCTGTTAAACATAAAAATTTCACAGAGCGTTATCAAACAAGGCTATTCTGACCTCATGGATCACGACAAAAACAAGTTCACTTAATCCTGTCCAAATACAGGCAAAAGCATAAACATTGTCCAAACCACAAAAATTGCTAAATACCACCCTACCCTAACTGATATGAAGGACTGTTGCTACTTTACCAGTTAGAGGTTGAGCTTTCCTTCATTCCTCACACCTTATAGAAAAGATTGGTTAAGATACCCAATCACAGCGGGCAGATCACTTGAAGTCAGGAGTTTGAGGCCAGCCTGGCCAACATGGTGAAACCCCATCTCTACTAAAAATACAAAAATTAGCCAGGCAAGGTGGCACACACCTGTAATCCCAGCTACTCAGGAGGCTGAGGCACGAGAATTGCTTGAACCTGGGAGGGAGAGGCTGCAGTGAGCCAAGATAGCACCACTGCACTCCAGTCTGGGCAACAGAGTGACACACTGTCTCAAAACAAAAAGGACACCCAATCACAAATTTATCCCCACTTCCAGACAGAATTAATTCCAGAGCAAAGCTGTTTTCTTTCTTTTCTTTTTCCTTTCCTTTTCTTTCTCTTGCCCTTTCGCCCAGGCTGGAGTGCAATGGCACGATCTCGAATCTCAGCTCACTACAACCTCTGCCTCCTGGGCTCCCCGACTCAAGCTATTCTCCTGCCTCAGCCTTCTGAGTAGCCGGGACTACAGGCGCCCACCACCATGCCTGGCTAATTTTTGTATTTTTAGTAGAGACAGGGTTTCACCATATTGACAAGGCTGGTCTTGAACTCCTGACCTTGTGATCCCACTGCCTCGGCCTCCCAAAGTGCTGGGATTACAGGTGTGAGCCACTGCACCTGGCCGAAAAGTTCTTTTTTTTTTTTTTTGGAGAGGGAGTCTCGCTGTGTCTCCCTTGCTGGAGTGCGGTGGCGTGATCTCCGCTCACTGCAAGCTCCGCCTGCCGGGTTCACGCCATTCTCCTGCCTCAGCCTCCCAAGTAGCTGGGACTACAGGCACCCGCCACCACCCCCGGCTAATTTTTTGTATTTATTTATTTATTTGTTTATTTATTTATTTATTTTGTGAGACAGAGTCTCACTCTGTTGCCCAGGCTGGAGTGCAGTGATATGATCTCGGCTCACTGCAAGCTCCGCCTCCCGGGTTCACGCCATTCTCCTGCCTCAGCATCCCGAGTAGCTGGGACTACAGGCGCCCACCACCACGCCCGGCTAATTTTTTGTATTTTTAGTAGAGACGGGGTTTCACCGTGTTAGCCAGGATGATCTCGCTCTCCTGACCTCGTGATCCACCTGCCTCGGCCTCCCAAAGTGCTGGGATTACAGGCGTGAGCCACGGAGCCCAGCCAAAAGCTGTTTTTTAAAACCTTCCCTCAAAACGTCTAACACAACCCCAAATCCTATAAAAAGCCTTTGTAACACCTCCTAAGGGAGAAATTTCCTCACTGGAATGAGTAGATAAACCTTTCTTTGTTCAATTATGTACATGTGTGTGCTTTGGCTGAAGGGCATTGACATTGGCATAAGCAGTTTCGATTGGATGGTGGTGCTGTTGTGAGATGGAAAAAACAGGGCATAGTCAGTGATTGGGGGTTGACCATCTGCCAAGCCCAGGCAGGAGATACTGCCTCTGAATGCCCCAAAGAGGCTGGAAGGCTTGCCAGTACCTGTCACAAGTGCTCTGAGGCTTTTGTTTTTGTTTAAGTCCTGAGTTTACTTTTTTTTTTTTTTTTTTTTGAGACACGGTCTTGCTCTGTCACTCAGACTGGAGTGCAGTGGTGTAATTATAGCCCACTGTAACCTCAAACTCATGGGCTCAAGCAATCCTCTCACCTCAGCCTCCCCAGTAGCTAGGACTACAGACATGCACTACCACGGTGGGCTAATTGTTATTTTTTTGTTGTTGAGATAGGGTCAAGCTAGACCTAGGATGGACTCCTGGCCTCAAGCGATTCTCCCACCTCCCACCTCCGACCTCCCAAAGTGATGGGATCACAGGCGTGAGCCACCTTGCCGCGCAACTGAGGTGTTTTTTTGTTTTGTTTTGTTTCTTGAGACGTAGTCTCGCTCTGCCACCCAGGCTGGAGTGCAGTGGCACGATCGCGGCTCACTGCAACCTCCGCCTCCCGGGTTCAAGCGATTCTCCTGCCTCAGCCTCCCGAGTACATGGGATTACAGGCGCGCACCACCACACCTGGCTAATTTTTTATATTTTTGGTAGAGACGGGATTTCACCACGTAGGCCAGGCTGGTCTTGAACTCCTGACCTCAAGTGATTCGCCCACCTCGGCCTCCCAAAGTGGTAAGATTACAGGCGTGAGCCACCGCCCCCAGCCAGCAGCTGAGGTTTTTACTTAATTTTCTATGCTGTTCTAAGGCACCACCAACTTCATTTGTATTAAAATTGTTACATTTTTATTAATAGAGTCACATATGAATAACTGATAATGAGCGTGTATTGTATGTCAGGCACTGCTTTAAGGGCTCTAGATTGTTTTTGTTTTGAGACAGGGTCTCCCGGGCTCAAGAGATCCTCCCGCCTCCACCTTCCAAATTGCTGGGATTACACGAGTGAGCCACCGCCCTGCCCTGGCTCTAGATGTTTAAATTCATGTACTCCGCACATCAACTCTATGATTATATGTACTATTATTATCTCATTTTACTACTGTGGAAACTGAGATACGAAACTTGCGGAGTGAGGATTTGAACCTAGGTCATACTCTTGGCCAGCCAGAGACACCCTAAGCCCCAGCTAAGAGGTCGAGAAGCAGCCATTTTGCTTGTAGTCCGGAAGGACTGCAAATCCCGGCATCCCTCGCGGCAGCGGCCCTCTACACACAACAAATCCCGGCATGCCCCCGAGCGGCCTGAGGTGGAGGGTTCTAGAAGGCGTGACGTGGGGTCGAGAGCGGGATCCGAGGCTGGCGGGTTTTGGCAGTAGCTGTGGCTGCGGCTGCCGGGCCTGGGGACGCGGGCGGCCGAGGCCGCCGTCGCAGCCTCCTCGTCTCGCCGGCTATGGCTGCGCTCGGCCGGCCCTTCAGCGGCCTCCCTCTGAGCGGCGGCTCGGACTTCCTGCAGCCGCCGCAGCCGGCCTTCCCCGGCCGGGCCTTCCCGCCGGGGGCTGACGGCGCCGAGTTGGCCCCGCGGCCGGGACCTCGCGCAGTCCCTAGCAGTCCCGCTGGGAGTGCGGCGCGCGGACGGTGAGGAGCCCGTCGGGCGCAGGGCGCAGGGCGGGCGGGCGGGCGGGCAGGCTGGGCGCCCCTCGCGGCGGGCGCGGGCAGGGGCGCGGGCTCCGCGCCGGGGCTTTTTGACTCCCTCCCCACGGCCCTCCGCGGGAGCTTCGCAGCCCAGTTTACAGATGAAGAAACTGATCCCCGGAGACGTTAACTGTAAGTCGCCGGGGGTCACATAGCCCAGGAGTCCGGTCCGAACCTCAGCTCGACTGCGGCCCGGAGAAGTGAGACTTTCCCAGTTGGAACCTGGGCGACTCGGTCTGGGTGCCCCCTCGGCGCGGCCGCTGTTAGTGACAACTTTCAGTGTCTCATCTGCAAAGTATGCCAAGCATGGGACAGAAATGGGTCCTCTTAGTGAGATTATTTAAATAAAGTGCTTAACACAGCGCCTGCCCCGAGGACGTTTCCCTGGTTTGGTCCTCCCTAATCTGTCTTCCATTACGTTGATAAAAGGACAAGTTGAGATTTCACTGTCCAGTTCTGTCGGGGCAATCCACCGTTACCCGACTGACCTGTGATTTGTACCCATCCCACTAGGCTCAGAAAGGGACGTTTGGTATGTGGGGATGAGCAAGATTATTGGAGCAAGAAAGAGGATACTGAAACCACAAGCTCGAGTACATTTCTTAATTGACTGATTTTTGTTTGTTTCAACAGTGTTTCTGTTCACTGTAAAAAGAAACACAAGCGAGAGGAGGAGGAGGATGATGAGTAAGTTTCAGTGGTTGTTTATTCACTCTGTGGTCACCGTTAGTTGAACCCCTGTTATAGTCTAAATTACTTAAGTGAAAAGGTGAAACATTAGATGAGTGTCTCTGGAAAGAGACACAGAAATTAGTGACATTGGTTGTCTTTTAGAGAAAGTAACAGTGGCAGGCAGACAGGTCAGAGGGAAACTTTTCGCTCTATAACAAGTTGTAATATTTGGATTTTGAGCCATGTTAATATTACATGCACAAAGTAAAATAATTTAAAGGATACATATTGAAAAGTTTTGTTTTTGTTTTTTTTTTTTTTTGGGACGGAGTCTGCCTCTGTCGCCCAGGCTGGAGTGCAGTGGCGCTATGTGGGCTCACTGCAATCTCCGCCTCCCGGCTTCATGCCATTCTCCTGCCTCAGCCTCCCGAGTAGCTGGGACTACAGGCGCCCGCCACCACGCCTGGCAATTTTTTTTTTTTTTTAGTAGAGACGGGGTTTCACTGTGTTAGCCAGGGTGGTCTTGATCTTCTGACTTCATGATCCTCCCGCCTCAGCCTCCCAAAGTGCTGAGATTACAGGCCTGAGCCGCCCCGGCCTGAAAAGTCTTTTTTTTTTTTTTTTTTTTAAAGTCAGGGGCTCTGTCACCCAAGCTGGAGTGCAGTTGTGTGATCACAGCTCACTGCAGCCTCAAACTCCTTGGGCTCAAATGATCCCTCAGCTTCAGCCTCCTGAACAGCTGAGACTACAGACTTGTGCCACCAGGCTCAGCTAATTTTTTAAAAAATTTTTTGTAGAGATGGTGTCTCACTATGTTGCCCAGTCTGGTCATGAACTTCTGGCCTCAAGCAGTCCTCCCAACTCTGGGATTACAGGTGTGAACCGTCCCCCAGGCTGTATTACAAAATCTTTTACTCCACACCCCTAGTTTTCCCCACCAGAGACAACCCCCTTACCTGTTTTCATTGTCTCCTTTAGAAGATAATCTAAAAATTTACCAAGTTCACAAGTGTTTTTCTTTTTCTTTCTTTTTTTCTTTTTTGAGACAAGGCCTCATTCTGTCAGGCTGGAGTGCAGTGGCTGTGTTTTTACATTTGTAGGAAGATATGGTTCACACTGTGCAACACATTGATCTTTTCATTTTACTCTTCTGTAGCTTGTTGCATATCAGCACATAGAGAGAGGTTTACGTAATTTCTCTTTCAATAGTTGAGTGGAGGCCAGGCGTGGTGGCTCACACCTGTAATCCCAGCACTTTGGGAGGCTGAGAAGGGCAGATCAGGAGGTCAGGAGTTTGAGACCAGCTTGGCCAGCATGGTGAAACCCCATCTCTATTAAAATACAAAAATTAGCCATGGGTAGTGGTGCGTAACTGTAATGCCAGCTACTCAGGAGGCTGAGGCAGGAGAATCACTTGAACCCGGGAGGTGGAGGTTGCAGTGAGCCAAGATTGCGCCATTGCACTCCAGCCTGGGCAGTAGAGTGAGACTCCGTCTCAAAAAAACAAAAGAAAGTAGTTGTGTGGAATTCTATCGTAGGACTTGGTGTAGATAATTAACCAATTTCCTATTGATGCATTTCTAAATTATTTCTAATCTTTTGCTATTACAATCTACCCTGACCATTCTTTTGAAGTTCTTTGTATATGTTTGGAAGTATATGAATGATTTCCTTGACGTGGAATTGCTGGGTCTTAAAGTGTGTGCATTTTAAATTTTGAACGTGAGTTTTTGCCAATTTATATGCCCATTAACATCCTCTGAACACAAGTGTGTTTTTAAACTTCGGGATTGCTGCCCAACTAATAGATGAAAAATTATATCTCATAAACAGTCTAATAGAAAAAGAAGTAAGGCCAGGCGCGGTGGCTCACACCTGTAATCCCGGCACTTTGGGAAGCCGAGGCAGGTGGATCACGAGGTCAGGAGTTCAAGACCAGCCTGACCAATTTGATGAAACCCCGTCTCTGCTAAAAATACAAAAATTAGCCAGGTGCGGTGGCAGGTGTCTGTAATCCCAGCTACTCGGGAGGCTGAGGCAGGAGAATCGTTTGAACCTGGGCGGCAGAGGTTGCAGTGAGCCGAGATCGTCCTACCGCACTCCAGCCTTGGTGACAAAGTGAGACTGTCCCAAAAAAAGAAAAGTAAAAAGGTTTCCCAAAGATAATATCCATGAACAACCAAATAAAAAAGCGTTCAACCTCATTAGTCTTTAGGGAAATGTGTATTAAAGCCACAATGAGATGCCACTCTACCTCCAGATGTTGGGATGCGTGTGAAGCACCAGGAACTCTTAAATATGGGTAGGAGTGTAAATTGGGACCATTAGGATCATTAGGCATCCACATTAAAGTCCTGATTTGGCATCCGGTGTGGTGCCTCATGCCTGTAATCCCAGCACTTGGGGAGGCCAGGGTGGGTGGATTGCTTGAGCCCAGGAATTCAAGACCAGCCTGGCCAAAATGGTGAAACCCTGTCTCTACTAAATACAAAGAAATAGCTGGTGTGGTGGTGCGCCCCTGTGATCCCAGCCACTCCAGAGACTGAGGCACGAGGAGAAGGCAGAGGTTACAGTGAGCCAAGATTGTGCCACTGCACTCCATCCTAGGTGACAGAGCAAGATTAGATTACCATTTTGGGATGCTGGCAGTATTGTATATCTTTTCTTTTTTTTTTTTTCCCTGGAGTTTTGCTCTGTTGCTCAGGCTGGAGTGCAGTAGCGCAGGCTCAGCTCACTGTCACCTCTGTCTCAGGTTCAAGCGATTCTCCTGCCTCATCCTCCCAAGTAGCTGGGATTACAGGCGCGTGCCACCATGCCCAGCTAATTTTTTTTTTTTTTGAGACGGAGTTTCGCTCTTGTTGCCCAGGCTGGAGCGCAATGGTGCAATCTCAGCTCAGCACAACCTCTCCCTCCCAGCTTCAAGCAGTTCTCCTGCCTCAGCCTCCTGAATAGCTGGGATTACAGGCATGTGCCTCCATGCTTGGCTAATTTTGCATTTTTAGTAGAGATGGGGTTTCTGCATTTTGGTCAGGCTGGTCTGGAACTTCCGACTTCGGATGATCCTCTCGCCTTGGCCTCCCAAAGTGCTGGGATTACAGGCGTGAGCCACCGCACCCAACCAATTTTTTGTATTTTTAGTAGAGAAATGGTTGTGCCATGTTGGCCAGGCTGGTCTAAAACTCATGACTTCAAGTAATCTGCCCGCCTTGGCCTTCCAAAGTGCTAGGATTACAGGCGTGAGCTACTGTGCCTGGCCAGTATACTGTAGCTGTTTTTTTTTTTTTTTTTTGAGATGGCATCTTGCTCTGTTGTCCAGGCTGGAGTGCAGTGGCGCAATCTCGGCTCCCTCGGCACAACCTCTGCCTCCCGTGTTCAAGTGATTCTCCTGCCTCAGCCTCCCATGTAGCTGGGACTACAGGCGTGTGATAATTTTTTGTATCTTTGGTACAGACGGGGTTTCACCATGTTAGCCAGGATGGTCTCAATCTCCTGACCTTGTGATTCGCTCGCCCGCTGGCCCTGGCCTCCCAAAGTGCTGGAATTACAGTTGTGAGCCACTGCGCCTGGCCTATTCTATATCTTAAATTATATTGTCATCATTGTTTGTTTTGTAATTATTTGTTAAGCTGTATGTTTGATGTAATTTTATGTTTGTAGAATTTTATAGTTAAAAAGGTTAAAGAAGTTTAGATTGTGATTTAATTTATATTTGTTAATTATAAGTGATACTGGACATCTTTTCTTTTTTTTTTTCTTTTTTTTTTTGAGATGGACTCTTGCTCTGCCACCAGGCTGGAGTGCAGTGGCACCATCTTGACTCACTTTAACCTCCACCTCCTGGGCTCAAGCGATTCTCCTGCCTCAGCCTCGCGAGTTGCTGGGACCACAGGCTTGCACCTCCAGGCCCAGCTAATTTTTATATTTTTAGTAGAGATGGGGTTTCACCATGTTAGTCAGGATGGTCTTGATTCCTTGACCTCATGATCCACCCGCCTCAGCCTCCCAAAGCTCTGGATTACAGGCGTGAGCCACTGCTCCTGGCTGTTTATGCAAATTTTCTATTGGCTTATTGATCTTTTTCTTATAGGAATTTTTTTTTTTTTTTGAGATGTATCCTCGCTCTGTTGCCCAGGTTGCAGTACAGTCGCACGATCAGGGTTCACTGCAACCTCTGCTTCCTGGGTTCAAGCAATTCTCTCAGCCTCCCGAGTAGCTGGGATTACAGGTGCGTGCCACCACGCCCGGCAAATTTTTTGCATTGTTAGTAAAGGCAGGGTTTCACCCTGTTAGCCAGGATGGTCTCTATCTCCTGACCTTGTGATCCGCCCGCCTCGGCCTCCCAAAGTGGCCTCGGCCTCCCAAAGTGCTGGGATTATAGTCGTGAGCCACCACGTCCTGCCAGGAAATCTTTATTAAGGAATGTTTTCTTCAAATTTATCCTTTGTCTTTTAACTTTGTGTATGATTCTTTTTGCCATTGGACACTTTGGATTTTCTAAACTTGTTGATACATAGATTCATAAAACATTAAATTTGAAAGTTCCCTTAATTTAAAAATCACTAGGTCGGGTGCGGTGGCTCATGCCTGTAATCCTAGCACTTTGGGAGGCCGAGGCAGGCAGATCACCTCAGATCAGTAGTTTGAGACCAGCCTGGCCAACATGGTGAAACCTCTTCTCTCTTAAAAATACAAAAGTCAGCCGGGCGTGGTGGTGCGCACCTGTAGTCCCAGCTACTCGGGGGGCTGAGGCGGGAGAATTGCTTGAACCCAGGAGACGGAGGTTGCAGTGAGGCCCACTGAACAGAAAATATTTATGTTCTTTATTGCCTTAGGATTACTGTGGATAACACAGGAAACTTTTTGCTTTTATCTTTTGCGGTTCTCTCTTAAGATGTTATTATAGATGCTAAAATAAATAAATAAAAAGTTTAAAGTATAGAAACTATCGGCTTAAAAAGTTAACCATCTTTAATTTACAAATGGAGAAGTTGAGGCCTTGGGAGGCAGTGGGATGAGATCTTTGGATGTCTAATGCCCAGAAGCGTGCTATCATATTATCTTTGGGACTTAATTATCAGTGATCTCTATTTAGAAAGTGGACCTACAGGCATGAAATAACTTAGTCTAAATCATGTTGTTGGAGGTCAGAGCGCAGAACCCAGGTGTTAAACTTTATTTGCATTTTATAGTGGAATTATTAGATGTGTGGGGAAATTACCTGTTCCCTTTAGATTTATTTTGCTTTTTGGGGATGTGGACTCTCACTGTGTTGCTCAGGCTGGTCTCAAACACTGGGCTCAAGTGATCTCCTCCCTCAGCCTCCCAAGTAGCTGGAACTGTAGGCACACACCACGACACTCGCCTTATTCTGCTTTTTCTTAGCTGTTTTTTGTAAGTATAACTATTTTCTGCTTTTCAAAATATCACATACTTTATTTATTTATTTATTTATTTTTGAGACGGAGCCTTGGTCTGTCGCCCAGGCTGGAGTGCAGTGACGCAATCTTGGCTCACTGCAACCTCCCCCCTCCTGGGTTCAAGCGATTCTCCTGCCTTGGCCTTCCTAGTAGCTGGGATTAAAGGTGCGTGCCACTGCGCCCAGCTTTTTTTTTTTGTATTTTTAGTGGAGACGGGGTTTCACCATGTTGGCCAGGCTCATCTCAAACTCTTGCCCTCAAGTGATCCACCTGCCTCGGCCTCCCAA
This sequence comes from Homo sapiens, assembly GCF_000001405.40. Taxonomy (NCBI): domain Eukaryota; kingdom Metazoa; phylum Chordata; class Mammalia; order Primates; family Hominidae; genus Homo; species Homo sapiens. Next base: position 28,779,468 of record NC_000022.11, read on the forward strand.
AGTGCTGGGATTACAGGCATGAACTACCGTGTCCGGCCTAAAATATCCCATATTTTAAAACTATTGAAATATGACAGAAATGTTAGATATAGCTGAACATTCTTAATGCTTTCTTAGGAGTTAAAACTAATTATAAACCAAACATTTTGTTTAATAGTTGACTGCATTAAAAAAAATCTAGGTTTGAGAGATCTGTTACTTGTCAGATTTTATATTGCCAGAGACTTTAATGTTGGTTTTCACAGTCTTAACATGGAATAGAAATTTCTTTTTGTAAAATACATGCCTCTTCTTTGGCCCTCAGTTTAAAGAATCAGAGGCTGTGGTAGCCATTAATGATTTTTTTTGGTTATAAAGCTGTATTCTGGCCTTGAGACTGTACTTGCTGATGCCCAGGCAATAAAGTACTTTTGGTCTACGTACATAATAGAACAGGGCCGATTGACTATTCAGCTTGCTTCAGACAGCTTTCAGCTAAACACTGGGTATATCGTAGTGCTTGCAAATACTACTTGGTGGTAAGCACTTGAACAGTTGAACCTCCCTAAGAAGGTACAGGGAGTTAGTAAAAATGGCATGGAGATATGATTCAGCAGCTCTTGTGTCTGGTCCTCAAGATAAACTCACTACTTTACGGTGACACTTTGGAGAAGCCGGGTTAGTTTTTCTAGGTCCTAGTTTCCAAATAAAAAAAAATGGATTTGATGAATTCTAAAGTTTCTATGAAATACAAATTTGTTCAGGATGTGAAGACATTATGTTGCAAAGTGGGAGAAAATTGGACCCCACTATTGGTTGGACACTGATAGAGCCTCTGACATTTTGAAGGGGACCAAGAAATTAATGCTGTCACCCACACCTGTAATATTAATACTTTGAACAAACCTCATGAGACATGTTTTTGCCCTAAGGGAATATAGAATGGCTGCCAGACCATCTTCCTATATGTTTGATGGAGCAGTAGCAGTATGACTAAATATGATGCTGAATTGCTGACTTTTGGTTTCTTTTTTTCATTCATTCATTCATTCATTCATGGTTTGAATTAGCGTCTCACTATGTTGCCCAAGCTGGTCTTGAACTCTGGGCTCAAGTGATCTTCCCACCTCAGCCATTCCAAGTGCTGGTATTACAGGTGTGAGCCACCACACCTAGCCAACTTTTGGTTTCTTTACTTCCCACTTGACCTTTCCAGAGCCAAATAAGCAGGAATGACTTTAAGGTCCCACATTGAACACTTACTGTCTGAACAGGCAGAATCTTACAGGTGCATCTTTATTTGGCAAAGAGCAGTAGAAGAAAACAGTTTAGTGTGGCTGTGAGAATAGCAGGAAAAATACGCAGTATTTTCCATCTTGTTACTACACACTTGTCAAAAAAGCTAGTTTTTTAAATACAAAAACTTGATTGGAGATAGGAATGATAAACATTTCATTTATATTAGTTGGGATTTTCATTGAATTTTTTTTCTTTTTTTCAGTTGTCCAGTAAGAAAGAAAAGGATAACTGAAGCAGAGCTCTGTGCTGGTCCTAATGACTGGATTCTTTGTGCACATCAGGATGTAGAGGGGCATGGAGTAAATCCCAGTGTTAGTGGCCTTTCCATACCTGGGATATTAGATGTTATTTGTGAAGAAATGGATCAGACAACTGGAGAACCACAGTGTGAAGTTGCCCGAAGGAAGCTTCAGGAGATTGAGGACAGGTAAATGGGCAGTGTATATAGCTGGTTTTTTGCTGTTCTCTTGTAATAACTCTGCTCATATAAGCTAGTTCTGTTTATCATTTGGTGATACCTTGATCCTTAGCCTCTCAGAAAGACTAAGTCAGATAATTCAAAGTGTATTCGTTTTTGTTTTTTTGTTTTGTTTTTTTTTTTTTTTTTTTTTTTTTTTTTTTTTGAGACGGAGTCTCGCTCTGTCGCCCAGGCTGGAGTGCAGTGGCGGGATCTCGGCTCACTGCAAGCTCCGCCTCCCGGGTTCACGCCATTCTCCTGCCTCAGCCTCCCAAGTAGCTGGGACTACAGGCGCCCGCCACTACGCCCGGCTAATTTTTTTGTATTTTTAGTAGAGACGGGGTTTCACCGTTTTAGCCGGGATGGTCTCGATCTCTTGACCTCGTGATCCGCCCGCCTCGGCCTCCCAAAGTGCTGGGATTACAGGCGTGAGCCACCGCACCCGGCCTGTTTTGTTTTTTAGATGGAGTTTTGCTCGTTACCTAGGCTGGAGTGCAGTGGTGCCATCTTGGCTCAATGCAACCTCCACCTCCCGGGTTCAAGTGATTCTCCTGCCCCAGCTTCCCAAGTAGCTGGGATTACAGGCATGCGCCACCACGCCTGGCTAATTTTGTATTTTTAATAGAGATGGGGTTTCTCCATTTTGGTCAGGCTGGTCTGGAACACATGACCTCAGGTGATCCCCCTGTCTCGGCCTCCCAAAGTGCTGGGATTACAGGCGTGAGCCACACCACCCAGCCCCCCCCCTTTTTTTTTTTTAAATTGATACAGGGTCTTGCTTTGTCACCCAGGTTGGAGTGCAGTGGCTCACTGCAGTCTTAACCTTTCAGGCTCAACCCATCTGCCCCCCTCAGCCTCCCAAGTGGCTGGGACTGCAGGCATGTGCCACCACCCCTGGCTAATCTTCGTATCTTTTGTAGAGACGGGATTTCGCCATGTTGCCCAAGCTGGTCACGCATTCCTGGGCTCGAGCAAGCCGCCTGCCTCGGCATCCCAAAGTGCTGGGATTACAGGCATGAGCTACTGTGCCGGGCCAGTCTACTGAGCCTTTTTTTTTTTTTTTTTTTTTTTTTTGAAACAGTGTTGCTCTGTCACCCAGGCTGGAGTACAATGGTGTGAACTCGGCGCTCACTGCAACCTCCGCCTCCCAGGTTCAAGCAATTCACTTGCCTCAGCCTCCTGAGTAGCTGGGATTACAAGTGTCTGCCACCGCACCTGGCCAAATTTTTTTTTGTATTTTTATTTTTATTTTTGGAGACAGAGTCTCGCTCTGTTGCTCAGGCTGGAGTGCAGTGGTGCGATCTCAGCTCATTGCAATCTCCACCTCCCGGGTTCAGGCGATTCTCCTGCCTCAATCTCCTGAGTAGCTGGGATTGCAGGTGCCTGCCATCACACCTGGCTAATTTTTGTATTTTTAGTAAAGATGGGGTTTCACCACGTTGGCCAGGCTGGTCTCGAACTCCGGACCTTGTGGTCCGCCTGCCTCTGCCTCCCAGAGGGCTGGGATTACAGGCATGAGCCATTGCACCCGGCCTTTTTTTGTATATTTAGTAGAGACAGGGTTTTGTGATGTTGGCCAGGCTGGTCTGGAGCTTCTGGCCTCAGGTGATCTGCCTATCTCAGCCTCCTTAAGTACTGGGATTACAAGTGTGAGCCACCACGCCCGGCCCCGAAGTATGTGCTTTTAAAGTGAATTCTTCTCATAGAACTACTGAGCGTTTTCACTTACTGCCTCTGAGTATTAATTTTGGTTTATGTGATAATTCTCTGAAATATTATTCAGATTTGATTATATGTAAAACTTTTTCGTTAAATGAAATGTTGAACAACCCTCTGAGTATAGTTTTTTTTTGTTTTGAGACGGAGTCTTGCTCTGTTGCCCACGCTGGTGTGCAATGGCACGATCTTGGTTCACTGCAACCTCCGCCTCCCGGGTTCAAGTGATTCTCCTGCCTCAGCCTCCTGAGTAGCCGGATTACAGGCATGTGTCACCACACCCGACAAATTTTTCTATTTTTAGTAGAGATAGGGTTTCACCATGTTGGCCAGGCTCTTCTCGAACTCCTAACCTCAGGTGATCTGCCCGCCTCGGCCTCCCAAAGTGCTGGGATTACAGGTGTGAGCCACCACACCCGGCCTGAGTATACCTTTTATACTCAGGTATAGCCTCATTTTTTGCTTGTTCTATTGCTGTATTACTTACTGCTTTTATCCTTTTTTATTTTTAAAATTTTGTCCAAATACTAGAATATATAATAGCTTGACTAAATATTTTTTCTTTCTTCTGCTGCCTTAATTGATTTAGGATAATTGATGAAGATGAAGAAGTTGAAGCTGACAGAAATGTTAACCATCTCCCCAGTCTTGTCCTTTCTGATACCATGAAAACAGGTTTGAAGAGGGAATTTGATGAAGTTTTTACAAAGAAAATGATTGAGTCTATGTAAGTTTTGGTACCTGATTTCTATTTAATTATGATCTTGGAGGGAAGACCCAATGTCTAGATTCTGCCCACCCTGTCCTCATTAGCTCTTTTTATCTCCTGATCCCCAGGCAATTGGAGATTGGCTTTTTCCTAGTTCATTAGGGGTGAGCAAAGTGCTTTACAAGCAGGAGTTTGAAGTATGGGGAAGTGGCTGCCTTGCCTACTTACTCTTTGGTTCCTTTGAAGACCTGAAATGGACTGCAGTCTGCTATTTGGAAATGAGATGACTGGCAAGAGAGCCCACTCTCAAGTTCCTGTGATACAGGAACCACATTTTAAAGGCTCTTGTTTACCTGGCTTTCTAAGTGACCCAGGAACAACACTGCGGCCTAGGAAAAAAAATAAAGTGGCCCAACAGTGAAAGCAGTTGCTGCAAAGACTGCAAAACAAAGCTCATATTCTTGGCTCATAGCATAGTCCTTCCAGGCCTTTAGCAGAACTGTTTTGCTCTTAATCTAAACACAGTTTATGAGCTCAGTTATCTGGTTTCCTAGATCATCAGAGTAGAAGCAGAAACAGCAAATGAGAGCAGAACAAACAAAACTCCTAACAGGGAGCTGTGACTACACTGTGAGGACAAGAGAGGAAACTGGAAAGCAAACACAATAACCTAAAAAGTAAAGTGGCCTGGGGCCCCTGAGTAATGATTAGCCCAGCTCTAATCCTGTAGTCCGTGAAGCCTCCGTGATCTCAAATTGTCATTATTCACTATGTAAAATAGTAAGGAAGTTAGTTATAAAGTGCCTAGGAAAGACTTTAGATCGAGTTGGCACTCAATAAGGGCAAGTTTCAGGTATCTGAAAAAGCCTCTTAGGACACCAGTCAGTGAGGGCAGATAGGTGAGGCATTATTACCTTTGGATACAGTGGAGATGATTTGTGCTAGAAGTTCAGCTGCTATTTGGTCTTTGATCACAGAGGTTTTGCATTAGGGTCCTATCTTGAGCTTATAATTAAGTACCCATCCCTAAGGGTGGGTAAATAGCCAGAAGTAAGCTGGTCACGTTGCCCTCCAGCCTAAAATATAGCACTTTCTGCTTTTGGTAGTTTTCCAGAAGCTAGCCTTTGAGGGTATCTCGTTTTTTTTGTTGTTGTTGTTGTTGAGATGGAGTCTCGCTCTGTTGCCCAGGCTGGAGTGCAGTGGCCTGATCTTGGCTCACTGCAAGCTCCGCCTCCCGGGTTCACGCCATTCTCCTGCTCAGCCTCCCGAGTAGCTGGGACTACAGGCGCCTGCCACCTTGCCCGGCTAGTTTTTTGTATTTTTAGTAGAGTTGGAGTTTTCACCATGTTAGCCAGGATGGTCTCGATCTCCTGACCTTGTGATCCACCCTCTTCGGCCTCCCAAAGTGCTGGGATTACAGGCGTGAGCCACCGCGCCCAGCCAAGGGTATCTCATTATTTTATGTTTTATTTTTGCTTCGTCTTTGGGCCCATACACCATCCCTGCCACAGTGTGTGTGTAACATAGTCATTTTGCCTTAACCATGAAGCTTGTTTTGTTTTGTTTTGTTTTGTGTTTTGAGACAGGGTCTCACTCTGTCACCCAGGCTGGAGTGTAGTGGCATGATCACAGCTCACCACAGCCTTGACCTCCTGGGCTCAGGTGATACTCCCACCTCAGCCTCCCGAGTAGCTGGGACTACAGTCACCTGCTACCACACCCAGCTAATTTTTGTATTTTTTGTAGAGACGGGGTTCACCACATTGCCCGGGCTGGTTGCAAACTCCTGGGCTCAAACCATCTGCCTGGCTTGGCCTCCCAAAGTGCTAGGATTACAGGCATGAGCCACTGTGCCTGGCCCATAAAGCATTATACTTTGTACCTATACTAAAAGGCATCTGAGATACTTTCAGCATGTTTGTCCAGTGTTTCCTTTTCATTTATAATGATTTAGTATGAGCTAGCTGCCTACATGTAATATTAACCACAACTTAAAAAAATTTCCAACAATCAAGGGCTCTGCGTTTTCATATTGGATTTTTAAATACTTCCAATCACAGCATCATTACAACCACTTGATTTGGTTAAATATACATGTTGAAGTGTGCAATGTTATGTATTTGAGGGGCCTTTCTAAAGATCAGTTGGAGCCAGGCATGGTGGTATGTGCCTGTAGTCCTAATTACTGGGAAGGCTGAAGTGGGTAGATTGCTTGACCCCAGGAGTTAAAGGCTGCGGTGAGCTATGACTGTACCACTGTACTCCACTGTGGACAACACAGCAAGACCCCATCTCTTAAAAAAAAAAAAAAAAAGAAAGTAAAGATCAGTTTGTGTGTTCTAAATCTCCTGTTTTGCTATCATCAGTCCTTAAGATACTAGGTAATGTTGGCTTTTCAACCTACAGCTTTTGTTTTCATGTCCTAAAATTTTTTGATAAAAGTCTGTATTTTATGTCTTAGGAGCCGTCCTTCCATGGAGCTTGTTCTCTGGAAACCCCTCCCTGAACTCCTTTCTGATAAGCCAAAGCCATCCTCTAATACTAAGAACTATACAGGAGAGAGCCAAGCTAAGCATGTAGCTGCTGGCACTGCCTTCCCTCAGAGAACTGAACTGTTTTCGGAACCTCGGCCAACAGGGATGTCTCTTTATAATAGTTTGGAGACAGCTACTAGCACAGAAGAAGAGATGGAACTCTAGAAACCAATTTCTACACTAAAGTTGTCAAATGTTAGAAGAATCCTGTGTTCAGTTATGAGACTCTTTGCATAGTATAGGGACTTGAAAGTTTTATGAGACGGGTGTAATAATATCTCCACCTGTGATTTGGGGGTGGGACTCTTATTTTGGGTAGCCATTTATTGACTTCACCTTTTTGCCAAGGACGTTTGTCTCAAGGGAAAAGCAGTTTTCTGTGGGGCTTATTAAAGGAATGTTGGTTTACATTGTCTTCAAAGACAAGTATAGAAGCTGTATGTGTAAGGGTGACTTAAATCATATGTCACATTGTCTAAACTATTCAGACACTTGGAGAATATTCTCCTTGAATTAAAAAAGATGATTAAGAAGGATGCTCCTACAACTGTATCCTGACAGTTAAGTCACAGCTTAATGTGTAGATATGAGCTGTTTACAGTGGTGACTATATATAATTGGGGAGAAGAAGGGAAGAGAGCAGCAGTAGCTTAAGCCTGTTGCTAAGAAATTTAATTTCTTAGCAACTTGTAATTTAGTTATCAATTCAATATAGCTCTGTTGATTAAATAGCCGATAGTATTGTGGCTCTCCTCTTTGACTATGAAAATATAGAGAAAGTTTTTTCTTTAAGGCTTTTTTGCCTTGTGCCACTGTTGCTCCTTGGTTTCCCTTGCGTAATTGATAAGCCCAGTTATTCAGTAATGTTTACAAATTAATTGACTTTGATAGTTAAAAGATTATGAGGTAACCCATCTGCAATTTGCCTGTGGGAGAAGCATCCTTTAGTTCATCTTAAGGAAGTGCTTTATCAGCTAAACCCAACATTGATAACTTTGGTAATTTTTTTAAAAAGTTATACTTGTATTAGCAAGTTTTTTTTTTTTTCCCCCACCGCAACCTCCATCTCCCGGGTTCAAGCAATTCTCCTGCCTCACCCTCCCAAGTAGCTGGGATTACAGGTGCCCACCTCCACGCCCAGCTAATTTTTGTATTTTTAATAGAGACCGGTTTTGCCATGTTGGCCAGGCTGGTCTCGAACTCCTGACCTCAGGTGATCTGCCCACCCCAGCCTCCCAAAATGCTGGGATTACAGGCGTGAGCCACGGCACGCAGCCAGCAAGTTGTTTTTAAATGTTAATATAGAAAACAGTGAAGGATTAGCTGAAAATATATGAGCAGGTGACATTGAGGTTTACTGAAATAGCCAATTTGACTGGTGCTTAGACTATTGTGCAGTAAACCTAAAAGGTAGTGGAGAATTGCTTCCTGCTAGCAGGAAGCCTTCATCTTCTTGAGTACCCAAACCAGGCTTCAGGTGTCCTTTGAGGATAGCCAGGTTTGAAATTTTTAGTTTCTCAGGAAGAGCTCTTCTATGTGGCAGGGGCTGATAGGGCAAAATAAAATGACAATTTCTTTATTGCTACAGAGTATCCTCTATAAGTTATTAAACGAGTGTAATGGTATAATGCCCTTCCATCACACAACAGGACACCACCCCAGTTTTGTTTTCTGGGTTTCTTCCCCCTTTGTAGGAATCAGATACCTTTTGTAGAAAAAAATGGCTTATGCCACGTAAAGGTGAATTTTTAGAAACCACCTTCTAGGCGTTTTTGGAACCCTTACTGAAATCCCTCCCCTTGTTACAGATGGCGTAGAAGTCACAAGTCTGTTAATTGGACTGTTGCTTCTTTGCCTGTTCCTGCTTTCTCTTTCTGTCTGGATAGTCAGGAAAAGATTTAATGTTTAATATTTAAACAAAATATTTAATGTCTATACAGTAAAATTATTCAAACTTCAAACCAGTATTGAAAGCAGTTGGAAACCAGCTAATAGTTTCTTAATCTCAGATTTCGAGATGAATGTAAACTGTATTCTTTTGAAATGTGCAAGTGTTTGATTCATGCCATTTGATAAACTTCTGCCTTGTAGTCATTGTTTGATGGGACCAACTTGTAAAGTATGAGCCTTAAATAAATCTCCATGCTGAAAAATGTGTTCTAATGCAACACAAAAACATGAAGTGACTGCCCAGAGGTAGAGTTAGTGTTTAGGTGGAAAGGGAGATGACAGCTTTCCAAAGAAGGACCTAAAACACACCAAGATTGTCTTCTACAGGAATTGCTGGGCAGGTCTCCGACTAAAGGTCTTATGATGAAAAGGAAGAAACAAGCCCCCAACACAAGGCTCTGATACTACTGGTAAATGTAGGAGAGAATTAAGAATCTGTTAATTAAAATCCAAACAGAGCTTATTTCAGTAGTCAAGTTACCTGACATGATAATTATTTCTGCAGGATAATTGATGTTTTATGTTCTTTTTTGGACTTTATCTTCTTGCAAAAATTTCTACAAAAATTGTTTTCTTCATCCTTGTGGTGCTTATTCATCTGAGCCGTCTCCACAGTCCCAATGCCTCTGCTTTTTGTTTTACTTTTGTAGCATAAGGTTTTTGCTTTTGCTTTGCCTTAAGAGTTCCCTAGGGAGTTACCAGGGCTTTTCGTTTTGTGTAGCTTTTGCAGCATGGATCAAACATTGGCTTACTGTGCTAATGTGTGAAGAGAAAAAATTCTCTAAAGCAGGTGAGCTTTAATGAACAAATGTGTATTTTATCTGAGTTTGAGTAGGGTGCGTTGTGGATTTTGTTTTTTGGGTTTTTTTTTTTTTTTTGTAATTATATGAAGAAAGTCCAGTTCTCATAAATATTGATCACTTAAAAAACTTACTCTTTCTTGAAAAGGTACACATGTAAAATTTAGGAAAATAACTAAAGTAGGGGCTGGAACCATAAGAAGAATGTTTATCAGCACGTTCATTTATTATTTTGGATTTGGAACTTGGCTTTGTTTTTCAATAGTGACAAGAATGGTTCAGTTCTAGGAATGTTCTGGAAGATGCTGTTAATTTTACTTTAAAATGAGAATCTGGTGTTACTGTATTTTATCGTTTTCAATAAAACTTCTTAAGTGTTTTGGACTTTTGAGATATTTGTATTACTCCACTTAAATAATGAAATCAGATATCTCCTTTCCTCTGAATTGTAGTTGAAGCAGCATTCATATCAGTGAAGGACTTAAATTTATCCTGAAGGGATGATTATGTTGGGATAAAGCTAAGTATCATATTTGAATTAGCTGTTCCCACAATAGGCAGGCCATGTGTTGCTATTCTAAAACCCATAGACTGCTTTCCACTCAGAGCAGTTCACTGCTATTGTTAGTATTTAGATGGCAGTGGTAACTGTGTATTCAAAAATGTTAAAATGGGCTAGGTACGATGGTGCACACCTGTGCCAGCACTTTGTGAGACTGAGGCAGGAGGATCACTTAAGCTGAGGAGAGACCAGCCTGGACAATATTAGCAAGACCTTTTCTCTTAAAAAAAAAAAAAAAGTATATATATATATATTCAAATGTAGAGTTGGAAGTGGCATACAGAGTTCATAGAGAGGGGGTTGAGGATCTTTGAAAATGGGGAATGGAAAACCCAGTGATGTTCACTTACATGGTGTTTTCTTTTTTTGCGTGTGAGACGGAGTTTTGCTTGTTGCCCCGGCTGGAGTGCAATGGCGTGATCTTGGCTCACTGCAACCTCTGCCTCCCGGATTCAAGCAATTCTCGTGCCTCAGCCTCCTGAGTAGCTGGGATTACAGGCATGCGCCACCACACCTGGCTAATTTTTGTGGGTTTTTTGTTGTTGTTGTTGTTGTTTTTGAGACGGAGTCTCGCTGTTTCGCCAGGCTGGAGTGCAGTGGTGCAATATCAGCTCGCTGCAACCTCCGCCACCCAGGTTCAAGCGATTCTACTGCCTCAGCCTCCTGAGTAGCTGAGACTGTAGGCGCGAACCACCATGCCCAGCTAATTTTTCTTGTACTATTAGTAGAGATGGAGTTTCTCCGTGTTTGTCAGGCTGGTCTCGAACTCCTAACCTCAGATGATCTGCTTGCCTCGGCCTCCCAAAGTGCTGGGATTACAGGTGTGAGCCACCATGCCCAGCCGTTTCCTTTAAGACTTGACAGGTCACTGGGTGGCAGTATTGCCTGCATATTTACATTCTTTGATAAATGCATTCCTGATTTGGTGGGCAGGAGGAGTTAAGTTTGGGATACAACTACAAAAAGCAAAGCATGGTGGGTTTTTTTTTGAGATGGAGTCTTCCCTCTGTTGCCCAGGCTGGAGTGCAGTGGCACAATCTCGGTTCACTGCAACCTCTGCCTCCTGGGTTCAGGCGATTCTCCTGCCTCAGCTTCCTGAGTAGCTGCGACTACCGGCATGTGCCACCACGCCCAGCTAATTTTTGTATTTTTAGTAGAGACGGTTTCACCATATTGGCCAGGCTGGTCTCGAACTCCTGACCTTGTGATCCACCCACCTCAGCCCCCCAAAGTGCTAGGATTACAGGTGTGAGCCACTGTGCCCGGCTGCATGATGTTTTGTTTTTAATCAAAATTTGGAAATCACAGCTAAAAATGATCTAATTACAGGTTTGGAAACTAAAGCCTAAGTAGATCGTGTCATCCTGTTCCTCGGGTCAGTGTTCTTTCCACTTGACCAGTTGGTTTTAGAGTCTTTGCCGATCTAAGATGTCATTTAGATTTTGTTGAAATAACTGATAATATAGTTCAAGCAGTCTAACATTAAACTCCTTGAGGAAACATGGTTTAGTATGTATCAGTTTGGTACAAATCCTATAGCTGTGTTAATTCCCTAGTTCCTCAGACTACCAGTAGCATCTTAGAGATGAAGTAGTTGTAATTAGAACAGTGTTTGGATTATAGCTCCAGCAAGACAATGATGTTTGGTTGGGTGCAGTGGCTCATGCTTATAATCCCAGCATTTTGGGAGGCTGAGGTCGGAAAATTGCTTGAGTCCACACGTTTGAGACCAGCCTGGACAACACAGTGGGACTCTGTCTCTATAAGAAATTTAAAAATTAGGTGTGGTGGCTGTTCCCAGCTACTCAGGAGGCTGAGGGGGGAGGATGGCCTGAGTCCAGGAGTTAGAGGCTGCAGTGAGCCATGATTGCGCCATTGCAGCTCAGCTTGAGTGCCAGTGAGACCCTGCCTCAAAAAAGACTGATGTTTTCCTTCAACAACTGGTTGGTTGGGTAAACAAGCCAGTCTTCCTATTGCTTTTTTTTTTTTAATGTATTTATTTTTTAGAGATGGGGTCTTGCTTTGTTGCCCAGCCGGTCTCGAACTGGGCTCAAGCCATCCTCCCACCTCAGCCTCTCAAAGTGCTGGGATTATAGACGTGAAGCACCGTGCCTGGCCCAGTCTTCCTGTTTCTTAATGAACTTTATGTCATAAGAGAATTGAATTCTTAGGAGACTGGAACGTGACTGATTATTTTAAAGTGTGCCTGGAGTAAGCAGTATTACCTTCTGCCTACAGTTCTGTCCCTACTTTCTCTCTGCTCCAATAACATATCTAGTAGAAAAGCAAGGAGGGGGCCAGGTGCAGTGGCTCACGCCTGTAATCCCAGCATTTTGTGAGGCTGAGGTGGGTGGATCACTTGAGGTCAGGAGTTTGAGTCCAGCCAGGCCAACGTGGTGAAACCCTATTTCTACTAAAAATACAAAGATTAGCTGGGTGTGGTGGCATGTGCCTATAATCCCAGCTACTCAAGAGGTTGAGGCAGAATTGCTTGAACCCAGGAGGTGGAGGTTGCAGTGAGCCAAGATCATGCCACTGCACCCCAGCCTGGGCGACAGAGCGAAACTCAGTCTTTTTTAAAAAAAAAAAAAAAGAGAAATAGATTGGTGTGACAGGGCCTAGGGAAATGGCATGCAGGCATCTTACCACTTGCCTCTTCAATCTGAGACAACCCTCTGCATTTAATGGAACTCTGGCTTTGGTTTTGTGGGAATATCTTGATTTTTGGTTCTAACCATTCAATTTGGTGTTTCAGTATGAAAATGTCCATGAATACCAGGTGTTTTCTCAAGGCTGTTTAGTAATTTCCACCCATCTGTGCAGGAAATGAAAACCCTGATAATTTACACAGGTTATATATGTCCTGTCCTGTTAGTACAGCTGCCTCTTTCATGTGGTATCATTGAATATAAATAACTTGAGCCTCAACCTCCAGATGCTTGTGCTATAATGATAGAGGATAAAGTACATCTGTAATTACATCTGCCTATACAATTCCTAAATAGGTTCTTGGCCCTAAGGTTTGCAGAGTTATAGAAAATCAGGTGAGATAAAGTTTTCAATCATGGGGTCAGCTGGAGGCTGTTCTTATATACAGAACCTTTTTTTTTTTAGGCAGTCTTGCTTTTTCACCCAGTCTGGAGTGCAGTGCTGCGATCTTGGCTGACTGCAACCTCTGCCCCCTGGCCTCAAGCGATCCTCCCACCTCAGCTTCCTGAGTGGCTGTGACCACCAGTGCACACCACCATGCCTGGCTATTTTTTTTTACTTTTCATGGAGAGACGGGTTTGCCATGTTGTCCAGGCTAGTCTTGAACCAAGCAATCTGCTGGCCTCGGCCTCCCAAAGTGCTGGGATTATAGGTGTGAGCCACCATGCCTGGCCTGTTTCTGAAGAAACTTAAGAGCCTAAGCAAGTTTGTATTGCTGAGCACCAGGATTGGGCCCTGGCTTCAACGACCGGATCTTGAAGGCAGCTAGCTGACTTGCCTCCAGTCACTACATGAAAGGCATTCTATTTTTTTTTTTCTTTTTTAAATGGAGTTTCGCTCTTGTTGCCCAGGCTGGAGTGCAATGGCACGATCTCGGCTCGCTGCATCCTCTGCCTCCCGGGTTCAAGTGATTCTGCCGCCTCAGCCTCCTGAGTAGCTGGGATTACAGGCATATGCGCCACCACACCCAGCTAATTTTGTATTTTTACTAGAGATGGGGTTTCACTATGTTGGTCAGGCTGGCCATGAACTCCTGACCTCAGGTGATCCGCCCACCTCAGCCTCCCAAAGTGTTGGGATTACAAGCGTGAGCCACTACACCTGGCCTACACCAAAGGTATTCTATAATCCACTTTGCCTTGCTGCTTGGGATTCTCTGAATCCTGCCTTTTTTCTACTCATTCACTTTGACCTCCCCAGAGTTAGTCTTTGTAAGTTGGGAACATAGCATTTAAATGCTAAATTGGCATAGAATGATTTCATCTACTGGCATAGGTGAAATTTTTATAAATAAGTAAAGTCCTGTAAAACCTTGTAAGATTTCCAAGGAAAAGATGCTATGAAGGATGAGGAGGTTATCAAGTCTTTGGGAGTTGTATTAATATCACTAGGATTTTTTCTTGAAGAGGTTTATTTATTTATTTATTTATTTATTTATTTATTTTTTGAGACAGAGTCTCGCTCTGTTGCCCAGGCTGGAGTGCAGTGGCGCGATCTCCCCTCACCGCAAGCTCCGCCTCCCGGGTTCACGCCATTCTCCTGCCTCAGCCTCCCAAGTAGCTGGGATTACAGGCGCCCACCACCACGCCTGGCTAATTTTTTGTAATTTTAGTAGAGACAGGGTTTCCCCATGTTAGGCAGGATGGTCTCGATCTCCTGACCTCGTGATCCACCCGCCTCAGCCTCCCAAAGTGCTGGGATTACAGGCATGAGCCACCGCGCCTGGCCGAGGTTTATTCTTTGATGAAACAAATTCTTGAGTAAATATAATTCTGGAAGAGATTAAAACCCTTCCAAAGTGGATTAGGAGATAATAACTAACTAACTTTCCAGTGTTTAGGATGGTGCCTAGCATATACTAAATGCTTATAATGCATCGTCTCTTTGAATCTTAACCTTTAGAGATACCATTATCCAACTTTACAGATGAGGAAATAAGTGATTATATATAACCCCTGGGTTACCCAGCTTACCAGTGGCAGAGTTGAAAATAGGGAGTTTCAGTCTAGAAAATGCTCTTAATTCCCATAATAAGGGCAAGAGAATCTCGATATGTGATGGTGTGTCCTTGTTTAACATTTATAAGATGGTGTAGCAAATAGTGGTTAGGGTTCTAGCTCTTCCACTTACTAGCTGTGATATTGGTCAGTTAGGCTCAAGAATCTGTCTCAGAAAGACAGTAACTGCTCAAATTATAGCTTATATCACTTATGGCAGTCCAGAATTAAAGCAGGCAGTAATTAAGGTGGAAAAGCCTTCAGTCACTTTAAAAAGCGTTAGGCTCACTTCAGTTGGATTAATTCCTACCACAGCACACAGATAAACATCTGGAGAGAAAACAAGACTTACGGCCCTAGAAGAAATCAAACAAGGATGCTGCATTGTACCTTTTAATTGCATGGGTAGTTTTAAATAAATGGAGAAAGCACCTTTCAGAAGCTACACTAGCAGGAAAAAATTCCATCAAGCATTTACATAGTAAATTTCTATAATTTCACAAAAGATTCTTGATCTTACTTGAAGTATACATGAGGGAAAGAGCCCCCTCAGCAGGTGTTCCCGTTGCTTACAGAAGCAAACTAAAGGACCTAAAACTGGAGGCAAGCCAGGATGCCAAAAAGGGGGAAGAGAAATGATAAAGAACCATTCATAAATTCCATGTCTACTTCAAGACATTTGTCTAATGACCCTTACATAATAAGTATTTTAGGGAAAACTACCACCCTTTTAAGATAAAAGTACAATCTTAAAAGCTGTAGTTCTCAATTATAGTAATATTTCTTACTTCCAGTAATATGTCTCAATACCTTGGACTGCTGGATGTCAAAAGACAATACCTGGGGGTCATCTATGAGATCTGAACAAATAGAGGAATTCTCTAGGACTGTATACTCTCTATTTTGGCTTTTTGAATGAAGTACAGACAGGCTTCTCTGCTATCCTCCAGGCAGTGTAATAGTCAAGGAAAAGGGCAACAGTATTGGATCATTCCTTAGACACTAATCAGCTGGGGAAAGAGTTCATTGGCAAAAGTGTCCTCCCAAGAATGGTTTACACCAAGCAGAGAGGACATGTCACTGAATGGGGAAAGGGAACCCCCGTATCCACAGTCACTGTAAGCATCCAGTAGGCAGGAAGATGGCTTTGGGCAGTGGCTGGATGAAAGCAGATTTGAGATACCCAGCTCCGGAACGAGGTCATCTTCTACAGGTTCTTCCTTCACTGAGACAATGAATTCAGGGTGATCATTCTCTGAGGGGCTGAGAGGTGCTTCCTCGATTTTCACTACCACATTAGCTTGGCTCTCTGTCTCAGAGGGTATCTCTAAGACTAGGGGCTTGGTATATATGTGGTCAAAACGAATTAGTTCATTAATGGCTTCCAGCTTGGCTGATGACGTCCCCACTGACAGAGAAAGGGAGGCTGGTAAGGAACTGGGTCCTTCTGGGTAGACCTCTGGGAGCTCCTCCAGGCTGGCAGGCTCTGGGGAAGGGCATTTGAAGAACATGACTGGGTCCAAGTTGTCCAGAATGCCCAACAGGATATCAGACTGTAAGAGGCAAAAATTAAATGAAGTACAACTGTCAGAATACAATGGAAAATCTAACTGGAACACTTTGTACTGGGTTCCATAATGTAAATTAGTCATTATGTGATAAGATGACCTCGGGACCCACCAGACCCATTTATCTACACTTCACTCCATGTTCTATATTACCTGGAACTAGGAAGGTAGTTGATGTTCACCTCCAACCCCACCAAAAACTAACTTCAACCCTCATCTGTCTAGTTAGGGATGTCAAGCATCAAACAGATGGAATTAACTGGTTATATAGCTCTTTAATAAGTCAGAATGATCCCTACCTCTGAATCTGAAGAGTCAATACCGCCAGAATCCATGGGGAGATGTTCTGGAGGGGTGACAACTGGGCCTGCACCTGCTGCAGAGGTGCACGTAGTCTGAGTGCTGCGGACTCAGCAGACCCGGCCACTGGCCTCACTTCATTCCCCTGGGAGGAAAGACCAAAGTGAATAAACAGCTTCAAGTGCCCAAGGAAATGCTTGCTAGACAGCTGTGATTCTCAACTTTAAAGAATTACTTTTCAAAAAGATTCTAGGGTTAAATTGCTATAGAACTTTATTATCTAACAACATTATTATTATTGAGAAGAGCAAGATAAGATATTTGCCAGTTCTGCTTGAATCTTTGCCTGGAGGAGGAAAAATGTTTCATTGTGCAGGAAATGTATAAGGAAGCCTTACCTCCCTTTTCTCATCTCTTGAGGACTTAAAAGTGGAAATAACAATGGTTAGGGAAAGATTTCAGCTGTAAAGAATGGTTTTCTAGTTTTCTTGAAATTTGTCCTGAACATTACCTTCACAGAGTAAAACTGTGCTACTGTCAATCTTAGACCATTTGATTGTTGTCACTGAATTTGCCATAATCTGTAGACTAAAACTCACATACCACCCTTCTCTTACCACAGAGGTATCACTATTACAAAGAATCCTTTCCCTACTCATTCATATTCATCAAAGAACTACTTTAATTTTAGTAGCGTTCAAAATCTGGTTTGAGTGGCTCTCTTACTTTGGTTCTCCTTAATGATTGCATGGTAATCTTGTTGGCTACTGCATTTGTTAGTACTTGTTCTTAGGGAGCCATGTAACTTGTTTTCATTATTAGATCTTAGTACTGTTCACTACACACTTAAAAAATGAGTGTCAAGTGCCTTTAGGGGAAGAACACTCTGCCTGCATGAAAATGTCTTAAAACTGAAGGAAAATTTCAAGAACGCTCTTGATCAGAAGTCCAGACTGTAAACATAATCGCTGGGTCATGTCACTTGGAACCAGTACTCACATGAGGCACCAAATAAAGGAGATGATTTACCTTGGCTTCCGCCTCCTCTTCAGCAACCAGGGCATCCATCCCCAAGCGCTGTCTTAACTCCTGGTTCTCAACTACAAGGCCATGAGTTTTCTCTCGTAAAAGCTGATTTTCTAGCAAAAGTTTTTGGTTCTGGAAGAAAGTTCATAAGAGGCTATTAAAACATCTAATTATTTCAGTTAAGAATCTACCTGATTCAGTATAATTGGTTTCCTTTCCTTCTTGAACTTTTGGAAAACTCTATGCTTGTGGTGTTCATAGTAGGTTTTAAAAAGCTAGGCCATAATTATGGAAAAGCAAGCTACTTAATAAGTGCCACTTCATGGGGTCAAGAATAACACACTGCTTCCAACTACTAATACTGACTTCAGCAAAGGGTGACTTGTGGCTTTAATGTAGATATAATTTTTTTTTTAAACTATCTTGGCCAGGCTCGGTGGCTCACACTTGTAATCCTAACACTTTGGGAGGCCAAGGCAGGTGGATCACCTGAGGTCAAGAGTTCAAAACCAGCCTGGCCAACATGGCAAACCCCCATCTCTACTAAAAAATCCAAAAATTAGCTGGATGTGGTGAGGGGTGCCTGTAATCCCAGCTAATCTGGAGGCTGAAGCAGGGAGAATTGCTTGAACCTGGGAGGCAGAGGTTGCAGTGAGCCGAGATTGCACCACTGCACTCCAGCCTGGGCAACAGAGTGAGACTCCATCTCAAAATAATGATGATGATAATAATAATAATAATAATATAAAATAAAAATAAATAACTATCTTGAACTGGCAGGTAATAATAAAAGTGGTAGTGGTGACTATAAATCCAAAATAAGTTAAAAAAAATCCCTGCTCCTGACTCATGATTCTTAGAAGAACCAACTAATGATTAAAACTTTAAAAAGCTCAATATATGCAAATTGACCAAGGGGTTAAAAAAACAATATAAATAATCTCTATGTATTCAAGATGTGTAATTGGCAACAATTTAAGATTGATTAACAGGTGGACCCTAGAGGGGGAAAGGAACCTTTAGTGAATTTCTGGCCATGCCAGGAAGAATGTAAAGTTTAAGCAATTATTTCCTATTAGCCCTTGCTAATTTCTTACTACAAACTCAATAAACATTGTTAAATCCATCTACTTTGAGATACATCTAGCACCAAATGCCACAAAGTCAATCACTTCTGCCCTCAACAAGCTTCACCACTTCACCAACTCTCTGTCCTAACTTAGATTAACTTTTTTTTTTTTTTTGAGACAGGGTTTTTGCTCTGTCGCCCAGACTGGAGTGCAGTGGCATGATCTCGTGATCTCAGCTCACTGCAACCTCCGCCTCCTGGGTTCAAGTGATTCTCCTGCGTCAGCCTCCGGAGCAGCTGGGATTACAGGTGCCTGCCACGACACCCGGCTAATTTTTGTATTTTTAATAGAGATGGGGTTTCACCACGTTGGTCAGGCTGGTCTCGAACTCCTGATCTCAAGTTATCTACCCACCTTGGCCTCCCAAAGTGCTGGGATTACAGGTGTGAGCCCCGGTGCCCAGCAAACTTTTTTTTTTTTTCTTGAGACAGAGTCTCACTCTGTTGCCCAGGCTGGAGTGCAGTGGTGCGATCTCAGCTCACTGCAACCTCCCTCTCCCAGGTTCAAACAATCCTCCCACCTCAACCTCCCGAGTAGCTGGGACTACAGGCACTCACGCTTGGCCTTTTTTTTTTTTTTTTTTTTGGTATATTTTTGGGTAGAGACGGGATTTTACCATGTTGGCTAGGCTGGTCTCAAACTGCTGGCTTCAAGTGATCTGCCCAACTCAGGCTCCCAAAGTGCTGGGATTACAGGCATGAGCCACCATGCCCAGCCTAGTTTAACTTTTAATCATATATTCAATTGTATTCTAATAGGGGCTGAAACAACTTGGGATGGGAAGCAAATATCAGAACATTCACCAAGGAAGGGTATACAATGGATAAAAGAGTTTGACCTTAAGTAGTTTTACCTCTTCTTCTAAATCTACCACTTGCTGTTCCAGCTCACTCATTCGAGCCTTCTTTCGATCTCTGGCAGTCTGAGCTGCTACTCTGTTTTTCAGTTTCCTAGGAAGAGAAGGAACATACCACACTGAGTCATATCAAACCTTATTTATGTCTTTATTTGAAAACTTTACCAGCTGGTGCTTTCATTTTTATTTACAGTATAAGACAGACTAATGATAAAATACACTTCAGGCTCCTCCCCTCAATAAAACAAAATAAAAAATACAGTCTTCTGTCAATCTAGCTCGAAGACCTGCTTTATTCTCTCCTATATTGCATCATCCGTCCACCTCAGACTCATCCCCGTCACAGCACTGGGGCTGGACACACACACTATTCATCTTGCATCATAAGGAACTTTCCTCTTTCCCCATCTATTCCCCCGCTGCTTCCTGTCTCCAGTTCTCTTAAACAGGATCCAACCTGGCCTCATTAATCTAGTGAAGGCTGCAATCTTGCTATGACATCAACCCTCCGTCCCCCAGTCCAATTTAGAAAAGGGAGAGGCTGATGCCACTCCCTGATCTCTAGTGTTGAGATCCTAGGCAGTGACCTGCTGATGGGTCCGTGTCTGTTGGAGGAGACACTTTTTTTTTTAAAAGAATTAACTCAGAAGAGACACTTCATAAATCACAGAAGGCACAATGATCACAAAAGAGTGAACATTTACGGAGGACTAAGTGCTAGGCACATTATATCCAAGTCTCAATCTCCCCAAAGACCTCATGAAGTAGGTTCCATTTTAAGAACGCAGATACTGAGCTAGACCAGTGAGCCTCGCAGAATTCCCAGCCCTTTCAACAGCTCTGTTATTTCAGCTCCGCGCCTCTCCAGAAATAGCAGTAAACCAAAACAGATTATTCGACCTCATGTCCGAGTTAAGAGGCTGAACCACCAGTCTGCGGCCACACAGCAAGAGGGCCTGGAAGACAGGTGCCCGCATCCCCAGCTCTGGTCATCTCTAACGAGAGAGTTAAAAAGTACAGAAAAGAGCCCTGGGCCGCCCTAGGTTCCCAGCGTGGCGGATCCGGTCAGTCCGGGCTTCCTGCCCCGCCCCGCGCCACGCTGGCACCGACCCGCCAGGCCAAAGGCGACGGAGCCCTGCGGGGCGGCCAGTGCTGGGTCCCCGCTCCCAGCCCCTGCCCCTGCCCCTGTCCCTAGTCCCGGCTTCAGATCTGGCCCCAGACCCCGGCCCCTCGCCCACCTCCTCAGCGCCTTCTCCTCGGGGCTCAGGTGCGTGAGGCGCTGTCGCTTGCGCGCCTGGGGCAGCCCCCCGCTCGCTGCCTCCGGGCTGGCCCCTCTCTGGGCTGGCACCATGAGCGGCAGGGCCTGGCCGGCCGGGGCTCCGGCGGCGGAGGCGGGCTGCCCCGACAGAAGCAGAACTTTAGGGGTCCCGTCGGCCGGGTTCGGCGCGGCTGCCACCACCACCATAGCTCCAGACTACGCACCGCGCACCGCGCGCCGCAGCCGCCCAGCGCCCAGCCTCGCCGCGCCCGGCCTTTCTACGGTCGTGGCCCTCCGCGATTGGCCAGCGTCGCGTGACGCACGGCCGAGCTCGGCGTCCATTGGTCCGGCCTGCCCGGCGGGGCGTTTCAGGACCGTGGCTATGGAGTCCGGCGTGGCAGCGGCAATCCCTGGCCAAAGGTACTTGGGGTCATTTTCCGCGGGGGGTTACGTGCGGGAGCGTGTCCTCCACAAACGGATTTTCCCCCCTTAAGCGGACTTATTTCCATCCGGAGTGACAGAATTTAATTCCAAACCGAGAGCTTTCCAGACTGACGAATTTTTACCGGGACTAACAGAGAATTACCTCAGCCTGACAACATTTTATCTCGTGCGCCACTTCGGGATCCGAGTGGAGCCGAAAGTCGAGATAGAGCGCAGTTGGGCCTTGGGTTCGAAAAGACTGGACAGAGGTTTCAGTGAGCCGAGATCGCGCCACTGCACCCCGGCCTGGGCGACAGAGCGAGACTCCGTCTCAAAAAAAGAAAAAGAAAAAAGCCTGGAAAGAAATTCTGCGGAATAGAAGTCTTTAAGAAATGAGATCGTGCCCTTTAAAACTAAGTTTAACAATAGTGAGGGCTTAATAAACGATAGGTGTTATCTCTGGGTTGGAGGGGAATACCTTCAATTTTAGTTTTTCGTTCCATTTCTAAAGTTTGTACTATGAGCGTGCATTTTTTTAAATTTAGTTTTATTTTATTTTTTAAATAGAAACGAGGTCTCACTGTGTTGCCCAGGCTGATCTCGAACTTCTGAGCTCAAGTGAACCTCCCGCTTCGGCCTCTATTATTTTTATTTTATTTTTTTTTCTTATTTTTTGAGACGGAGTCAGGCTCTGTCACCAGGCTGGAGTGCAGTGGCGAGATCTCAGCTCACTGCAACCTTCGCCTCCGGGTTCAAGCAATTCTCCTGCCTCAGCCTCCCGAGTAGCTGGGACTACAGGCGCCCGCCACCACACCCGGCTAATTTTTTGTAGTTTAGTAGAGGCGGGGTTTCACCGTGTTGGCCAGGATGGTCTCCATCTCCTGACCTCGTGATCGCCCGCCTCGGCCTCCCAAAGTGCTGGGATTACAGGCGTAAGCCACTGCGCCCAGCCTCTTGTTATTTTAAATGAGGGGACAGGAAAACGTCACATGTAGAGACTGAGACCCCGGGGTTGACCCTGAGCCCCCTCTCCGAGGGGAGGTCGAGGTTCCTGCCTGGCCATTGTGGCGTGAGGGTGGCCAGGTGTTTGTGAAAGAGGGGCCCCCAGAGAGCAGCACGGGAGCGATTTATACACACGAATATTAACATGGAGAAGTCCGAGAAACCCCCGTAAATATGCCTGTCCACTTTTTTTAAAGCAAATTACAAAATGTGAAATTCCCCAGAAATGCACAGCAATACCTTCTCTAACAAGTAATTATTGCTTCCTCCTCTGCGGGCAGCACTATTCCAGGTTCTAGGGGTGCAAACAGTAGTAAGACTGCTACCTGGTATTTGGAGGATATGCAAAAAGTGAAATGTTAAGATAGCAGGTTCCTAAGTAATTCTTTAGTGTTATTAAGTCGGATTAGCTGGTCAATTTTATTTTGGTAGGGAGGGAACAGGATGGGAAAAAGAACTAAAAGCAAGTCCATCTCTTGATATCTAAGCCCTCTAAAGGGACATAGTTTTGGTTTTTGCCAGGACTGGGCCACGAGTCTCCTAACGTGTTTTCTCCCTCTTCGTTGGGAGGGAAATCAATGATTTTTTTTTTTTTAACTGGGCTGTCCCAACTCCAGAGCCTCCTGAGCACGTGCTGTCCTGTGGGTTGGAAAAGAGGTGGGGGTGATTGGAGTCTCTGCCGGACCAAGAAACCAACTTCCTGTTTAACTCTCATCAGCTTGGGCCACCTGGGTTCTGATGTGCCTTCAGATGTGGGGAGACTTACTCCGGGCCTCTGAAATGTTTTGGGAGAAGTCTGGAGGTGTCTTCTAGCCGAGACCTATAGCTTCATATTAAAAGACCTTGGAAAGCTGTAAGAGGCTGTTAGAAAAGTCATGTCATGTCATGCCACCTGTTACGTTTTATTTTTTGATGCCTTTTTTTTCCTTTTTTTTTTTTTTGAGACTGGGTTTCGCCACGTTGCCTAGGCTGGAACTCCTAGGCTCAAGCGATCCTCTTGCCTTGGCCTCCCAAACTGCTGGGATTGCAGGCAGGAACCACAGAGCCCGGCCCTTTTTATTTATTAAGTGAACATTTATTAATGCCAAGAGAATGTCTTTCACTGTGTAAGAAAGAAAATGCTGGAGGACCCTTTTAGTCCAGCAGGGTGTAGTGAGTAACTGAGTAGAGAAAGCACAGGGTGCGGGATGGGGAAAAAAGGTTGATGAATTGCACTTTGATCTTAGTTAATGCGATATTGAAATTCACTTCCCCAGCTTGTTTTCAAAACTTTTATATTTTTGACAAACACTTTAAATCATACTAAAAACAATAATTTGACCCACTACAGATTGCTGTCCATGCAGTCTTGAACATGTGAGTCCAAACCCTTGGACAGTTTCATATCCTCTCTATAAAATGAACCTGGTAATTCTTGCATCAGGTGCCATAAGTGTTTAAAAATATTTACTAGACACCTGTGATAAGAGCTATAAAATATATAAATTACAAAGTTCTCGGTCTTTGAGGCCAAACGCGGTGGCTCACCCCTGTAATCCCAGCACTTTGGGAGGCCGAGGTGGGCAGATCACCTGAGATCAGGAGTTCGAGACCAGCCTGGCCAACATGGTGAAACCCAGTCTCTACTAAAAATACAAAAATTAGCCGGACATGGTGGGGGGCGCCTGTAATCTCAGCTACTGGGGAGGCTGAGGCAGGATAATGTCTTGAACCTGGGAGGCAGAGGTTGCAATTAGCCAAGATTGTGCCATTGCACTCCAGCCTGGTCAACAGAGTGAGACTTTCTCAAAAAAAAAAAAAAAAAAAAAAAAAGTCATTATTCAGAAAGAATCAGTCAGGAAAGGGTGGACAAAACAGGAACAGAAATAAATAGGCATTCCAGAAAAGGGAAAACAGAAAAATACTGTACACTGGTAAGCAGAAAACAGAAAATAACATGGCAGGAATAAGTCCAAATATATAAATAATAAAACATAAATGTGAATGGGTTATATTATCTTCTTAATCATGCTGTTTTGTTTTATGTATGTCTCTTTATAAACAACATATAGCTGGCTTTGGGGTTTCTCAGAGCTCTCTTTTAAGAAGAGAATATAAATCATTTGTATTTATTTTTGATTATTTATTTATTTGGACTTATTTCTGCCATGTTATTTCACATTTTTTGTTTACTATATTTCTCAAGGCAGGAGGATTGCTTGAGGCCAGGAGTTCAAGACCAGGCTGGGAAACATATTGTGACCTTGTCTCTACAAAAAATTTAAAAAAATTAACCAGGCGTGGTGACTTGCACCTGTAGTCCCAGCTGCTCGGAAGACGGAGGTGGTAAGATCCCTTGAACCCAGGAGTTCGAGGCTGCAGTAAACTATGAGCTATGATTGAACCATTGTACTCCAACCTGGGAGACAGAATGAGCTCCTGCCTCTAAAAAACAAAAATTTTTTTAAAAAAAAGGAAAATGACTTACCAGCCATTTTTATGTTTATGGAAATGTTTATGGAAAGAAAGCATATGTAGCAATATTAATATGAGACAGAATTTATCATAAAGGCATTAAAAGGACAAAGAAGGGTATTTCATGTTGATTGAAGGTACAAGTTACCATATATACATCTTTATGAACATAGCAACATAATTTTGAAATGTATAGGCCTAGCATGTCGGCTCACACCTGTAATCTCAGCACTTTGGGAGGCTGAGGTCAGGGGTTCAAGACCAGCCTGGTCAACATGGCGAAACCCCGTCTCTATTAAAAATACAAAAATTAACTGGGCATGGTGGCACGTGCCTGTAATCCCAGCTACTGAGGAGGCTGAGGCACGAGAATTGCTTGAACACGGGAGGCAGAGGTTGTAGTGAGCCAAGATCGAACCACTGCTCTCCAACCTGGGTGAGGGACACAGCAAGACTCTGTCTCAAAAAAAAAAAAAAAAAAAAAAAATTAGCTGGGCTTGGTAGTGTGCACTTGTAGCCCCAGCTGCTCGGGAGGCTAAGGTGGGAGGATCATTTGAGCCCAGAAGATTGAGGCTGCAGTGAGCCGAGATGGTACCACTGCATTCAAGCCTGGGTGACAGAGTGAGATCCTGTCTCAAAAGAAAAAACAAAAGAAAATTGGCTGGGCACGGTGACTCATGCCCGTAATCCCAGCTCTTTGGGAGGCTGGGGCGGGGATCCCCTGAAGTCAGGAGTTTGAGACCAGCCTGGCCAACATGGTGAAACCTTATCTGCCGAGACCAGCTCGGTCAGGGAGACCCTAACCCAGCAGTGCTAGAGGAATTAAAGACACACACACAGAAATATAGAGGTGTGAGGCCGGGCGCGGTGGCTCACGCTTGTAATCCCAGCACTTTCGGAGGCCGAGGCAGGCGGATCACGAAGTCAGGAGATCAAGACCATCCTGGCTAACACGGTGAAACCCCGTCTCTACTAAAAATACAAAAAATTAGCCGGGCGTAGTGGCGGGCGCCTGTAGTCCCAGCTACTCGGAAGGCTGAGGCGGGAGAATGGCGTGAACCCGGGAGGCGGAGCTTGCAGTGAGCAGAGATCGTGCCACTGCACTCCAGCCTGGGCGAGAGTGAGACTCTGTCTCAAAAAAAAAAAAAAAAAAAAAGGAAATATAGAGGTGTGAAGTGGGAAATCAGGGATCTTACAACCTTCAGAGCTGAGAACCCTGAACAGAGATTTACCCACATATTTATTAACAGCAAACCAGTCATTAGCATTGTTTCTATAGATATTAAATTAACTAAAAGTATCCCTTAAGGGAAACGAAGGGATGGGCTGAATTAAAGAAATAGGTTGGGCTAGTTAACTGCAGCGGGAGCATGCTCTTAAGGCATGAATTGCTTATGCTATTGTTTGTGGCTTAAGAATGCCTTTAAGCAGTTTTCCGCCCTGGGCAGGCCAGGTGTTCCTTGCCCTCATTTCCGTAAACCCACAGCCTTCCAGCTTGGGCGTTATAGCCATTATGGACATGTTACATTGCTGCAGAGATTTTATTTATGGCCAGTTTTGGGGCCAGTTTATGACCAGACTTTGGGGGGCTTGCTCCCAACAGCTATCTCTACTAAAAATAACAAAAATTAGCTGGGCGTGGTGGTGGGCGCCTGTAATCCCAGCTACTCAGGAGGCTGAGGCAGGAGAATCACTTGAACCCGGGAAGGGGAGGTTGCAGTGAGCCGAGATCGCACCATTGCACTCCAACCTGGGCAACAAGAGTGAAACTCTGTCTCAAAAAAAGAAAAGAAAAGAAATGTATAAAACAAAGACTGAAATGATGAAAATGATCCACAAATCACAATGGGAGATAAATACAATTCTCAGAATCAACAGAGGGAGCAGACAGAAAAAATTTGAACAGTACAACTTTCCTCCCAACCAAGGACTTATGTTTTTTCTTTTTTTCGAGACAGAGTCTCCCTCTGTCACCCAGGCTGGAGTGCAGTGGCGCGATCTCGGCTCACTGCAAACTCCGCCTCCTGGGTTCAAGCAATTCTCCTGCCTCAGCCTCCCGAGTACCTGGGATTACAGGCGCCTGCCACCATACCCATCTAATTTTTGTTTTTTTAGTAGAGACGGTTTCACCATGTTGGACAGGCTGGTATAGAACTCCTGACCTTGTGATCCGCCCGCCTCGGCCTCCCAAAGTGTTGGGATTACAGGTGTGAGCCACTGTGCCCAGACAGGCCTATGTTTTTTCAATTAAGAAACATTCTCACTTTTTTTTTTCTTTTTGAGATGGAATCTCGCTTTGTTGCCCAGGCTGGAGTGCAGTGGCACGATCTCAGCTCACTGTCTTACTGCAACCTCCGACTCTTGATTCTCCTGCCTCAGCTTCCCGAGTAGCTGGGATTACGGGTACAAGCCACCAAGCCTGGTTGATTTTTGTATTTTTAGTAGAGACAGAGTTTCACCATGTTGGCCAGCCTGGTCTGGAACTCCTGACCTCAGGTAATCCACCTAAGTTGGGCTCCCAAAGCGTTGGGATTATAGGCGTGAGCCACGGGACCTGGCGAAATCTTTATATTTTCATTTCTCTTAGGTAAATACCTATAAGTGGAATTGCAGTATCATATGGTAAATACTATGTTTAAATTTTTTAGAAACTTAGCAGCTTTCCAAAGTGGCTATAGGTTATACCATTTTACATTCCCACCAGTGATGTACTGCTTTTTTATATTGCTATTATAGATTGTTATTTAACTCTTTCATGGTTGTCCAACTTCTTATTGTTTATGTTGTATGTTTTTCCCAACTGGATTTCAACAAGCTCATTAGACGCAGAAGCTAGGGTTATTCGTGGTTCCATTTTTTGTGTGTTCTGTGCTTACGATAGTGCTGAGTACATACTTGGCATTCAATAAATATTTTCGAATGACTATTGAATGGTTACATTATCTGCAATATGCTTTATTTTATTTTATTATATTTTGAGACAGGGTCTTACTCTGTCACTCAGGCTGAAGTGCAGTGGCATGATGTCGGCTCACTGGAGCTTTCGCCTCCCGGGTTCAAATGATTCTCCCGTCTCAGCCTCCTAAGTAGCTGGGATTACAGGCATGCACCATCATGCCTGGCTAATTTCTTTTGTTTGTTTGTATTTTTAGTAGAGACGGGGTTTTGTTACATTGGCCAGGCTGGTCTCGAATTCCTGACCTCAGGTGATCTACCCGCCTCACCCTCCCAAAGTGCTGGAATTACAGGCATGAGCTACCGCTCCCAGCTGAATGAACTCATTTTTTTTTTCTTTTTTTGAGACGGAGTCTCACTCTTGTTGCCCAGGCTGGAGTGCAATGGCGCCATCTCAGCTCACCCCAACCTCTGCCTCCTGGGTTCAAGCGATTCTCCTGCCTCAGCCTCCCAAGTAGCTGGAATTACAGGCATGTGCCACCATGCCCAGCTAATTTTGTATTTTTAGTAGAGACGGGGTTTCTCCATGTGGGTGAGGCTGGTCTTGAACTCCCAACCTCAGGTGATCCACCCCCCTCGGCCTCCCAAAGTGCTGGAATTACAGGCGTGAGCCACCGCTCCTGGCCCTGAATGTACTCATTTTAAAGCACTAAGGCAACAGTTCTAGTTACCTACACGGCACCTATTATACTTTTTCTTCCTTATTAAAAAAAACTATTTTGTTCAAGATGCCCACTTGAAAACACTCAGCTTCCAGACTCCCTGGAGTTTATGGATAGTTACATAATGTGGTTCAGGCCAATGTATACATACGTGGAAGTTCTGGGCACAGACGATTCCAGGAAAGTTTGTTAAGTGGAGGAGACTCAACTGGGAAGGCTTTCACCTTTTGCCTGTTGCTCTTTTCCTTTTTTCCCCTCTTCCTTGCCTGGAATGCTGATGAAACTTCCAAAGATTGAGAGGTTCAGCCGCCATCTCACAAATATGCGGATTGGAGTCACATGCTAAGGACGTCAGAGGGGAAAGACAGAAGGAGTCTGGGCTCCTGATGGCACCATGGAGTGGCCATTTAGCTCTAGACTGCCCATTTCCAGATGTCACATTACATAAGAATTATAATTCCTGTGGTAGCTGGGTTCTTGTTACATGCCATTAAATACAGTCCTCGCTTTTACTGACAATTTTTTTTTTTTTTTTGAGACCGAGTCTTGCTCTGTCGCCCAGGCTGGAGTGCAGTGGCGCAATCTCGGCTCACTGGAAGCTCCGCCTCCTGGGTTCACGCCATTCTCCTGCCTCAGCCTCCCGAGTAGCTGGGACTACAGGCATGCGCCACCGTGCCCGGCTAATTTTGTATTTTTAGTAGAGACGAGGTTTCTCCATGTTTGTCAGGCTGGTCTCGAAGTCTCAACCTCAGGTGATCAGCCTGCCTCGGCCTCCCACAGTGCTGGGATTACAGGCGTGAGCCACCACGCCCGGCTTACTGACAATTTTACCTGCCACATTGCCCTTCCTTAGATTTCCCAAGTACCGTCTTTGTTCTCATCAATAAGCTACCAGCACTGCTGAGGAACAGGTAGGCTTGAGCAGGACAATTAGAAGTAGGTGGGACCCAGGCACACAATTTTTATCAGTGGCACTTTCTTCTGATACCAGGAAAAGAGGTGAGTCATTCCACATTATAGCATCACTATTTTGTGAATGGGAAAATTAAGGTTCAAAGGGAAAAAATAATCAGCTTAAGCATACAGATTACATCTCCAGCTTATCTGTCCATCCCTCACTCCTGTCTTACCACTTCCCTGAATTATTCTTCTCTGTTTAGTTTGCCTGGTAAACCCCATTTCTTCTGTTTGTTTAAACTACAGTTTCTCAACCTCAGTGTTATTGACATGTGGGGCTGGACAATTCTTTGTGGTGAGGGGCAGCTCTGTCCCTTATAGGATGTTTAACAGTATCCCTGGCCTCTGCCCACCAGATGCCAGTGGCACCCCTCCCCTCCTCCAAGTTGTGACAACCAAAATTGTCTTTGGACATTGCAGAATGTCCCCTGGGGGCCAAGATCTCCCCCACTGAGATCACTACTCTCAAGTCAGGTCAAACACCACTCCAATCTATACCTGCTTTGTTCCCACATGTCCCCCACAAACTTCCAACATAACAGCTGCAGCACTGTTACCTGTCTGTATCTCCAGATTACACTGTATGGTCCTTGAAGGCTCTTTGACTCATTTCTGCATCTCCCTGTTTATTGACTAAATGAATTTTAAAATTGTTCGGGAAGCCAGGTGTGGTGGCTTGTGCCTGTAGTCCTAGCTACCTGGGAGGCTGAGGCAGGAGGATTGCTTGAGCTTGAGCCCAGGAGTTCATGGCTGCAGTGAGCTATGATCATGCCACTGCACTCCAGCCTGGGCTATAGAGCGAGACCCCATCTCTAAATAAAGTAAAATAAAATAAAATAAAAATGGCTTGGGCAAAGAATAGGAATATAATTCAGGAATTCTGGGTCCCTGATGCCATGATTTCAACACTCATTGTAAAGGACTCGTGTCCTATGCCTTTGCTTGGCATTGTATTTTATAGATTCCAATGCTAGAGTCAAGAGGCAGATTCTAGCAAGGAAGGTATGTTGCTCATTGTTTTAAACATACCAATTAATGGAAAAAGAGGCCGGGTGCAGGTGGCTCACGCCTATAATCCCAGCACTTTGGAAATCCGAGGCGGGCATATTCCAGGAGTTCTGGACCAGCTTGGGCAACGAAGTGGGACGCTGTCTCTACAAAAAATACAAAAATTAGCCGGGAGTCATGGTGCATGCCTGCAGTCCCAGCTACTTGGAAGGCTGAGGTGGAAGGATCACTTGAGCCCAGGAGGTCCAGGCTGCAGTGAGGCATGGTAGTGGTAGTGCCACTGCACTCCAGCTTGGGTGACAGAGAGAGACCCTGTCTCAAAAAAAAAAAAAAAAAAAAAGAAGAAGAAAAAGGAAAAGAATGCAAAGAGTTTAGGAAAACCTTTTATATTCTTACAAAGAAAAATGAAAAACTCTTAAATGTTTTGGGAGAGAATGAAGAGTAAATTTCTATACAATATTTTTGTTTCCTTGATGGAATCAAAGTTGAGTCAATCTCGCAGAAAATGCTGTGTACCCTCTTCTCAGTTCTAACTTCCTCGAATGTTGTCATCTTAAATTATTGTGTTACAGCCAGGCGCGGTGGCTCACACCTGTAATCCCTGCATTTTGGGAAGCCAAAGTGGGTGGATCACGAGGTCAGGAGTTCGAGACCAGCCTGGCCAATATGGTGAAACCCTGTCTCTACTAAAAATGCAAAAATTAGCTGGGCTTGGTGGCGAGCGCCTGTAGTCCCAGGTACTCGGGAGGCTGAGGCAGAAGAATCACTTGAACCTGGGAGGCGGAGGTTGCAATGAGCTGAGATCGTGCCACTGCACTCCAGCCTGGGCGACAGAGCAAGACTCCATCTCAAAAAAAAAAAAATTATTGTGTTACATTTGTC
Organism: Homo sapiens; assembly: GCF_000001405.40. Lineage (NCBI taxonomy): Eukaryota > Metazoa > Chordata > Mammalia > Primates > Hominidae > Homo > Homo sapiens. The sequence goes on from NC_000022.11 coordinate 28,810,661, forward strand.
ATAACCAAGAAAAGGTCTTAAAAAAAAAAAGAAAGAAAGAAGAAAAAAGAAAACAACTTGAATGCATAGGACTTCATTATTCTCCAGAAATGGATGAAGTCATTTTGGTTTGCTAGGACTACTGATCCCGTATTTCCAATTTTATTAGTATATTTCTAAAGAAAGACATCTACAAACCGTTCAAATAACGTTGAGACGCTGAGTGTGTGGGCAGGAAATCCTCTTGGTTATGTTGACGGGTGTTTCCTTCGGTCCTGTGGCTGCCCACCACTTTCTGGAAAAAAAGTTGCAAAACTTCCTGAAGTTCACTTGTGTGCACTTGGGTTCTAAGAAATTCAGTACCTCTTTGGCATCTACAAAATGCTGCAGTTCATTTGCCCAGTCAATTAAAAATGACACTAAAAGGGCATGACAACAAAAGGAAAAGATTCATTCAAAAAATGCGAAGATATCGCATGGCTCTTTTTCACTTGGCACTGACCTGGCTCTGCATCTGGTTTTGCTTTTTTTTTTTAAAAGAAAGCACAAACTCTCCATTGTTGGTAACTATTCTTTATGCTGAGGTTCAAAGGTAGCAAGAGAAGCAAGCTTTATCTTGTTTGAGAGAAGCTTAGCCGGATGCGGTGGGTCATGCCTGTAATCCCAGCGCTTTGGGAGGTTGAGGTGGGCGGATCCCTTGAACTCAGGAGCTCAAGACCAGCCTGGGCAACATGGTGAGACCCCATCTCTACAAAAAATACAAAAAATTAGCCAGCCATGGTGGCGTGCACTGGTAGTCCCAGTTTCTCAGGAGGCTGAGGTGGGAGAAACACCTGAGTCCAGGAAGTCGAGGCTGCAGTGAGCTGTGATCATGCCACTGCATTCCAACCTGGGCAACAGAGTGAGACCCTGTCTCCAGAGAAAGAAGTTTAAGTGTTACAAGCCCCCTTCAGTATTCCTATAAGAAAGAAAACCAGTTCATTGGTACTGAAATTTTAAACTTTTTATTTTGGCATAATTTAAATGTACAGAAAAATTTCTTTTCTTTTGAGACGCAGTCTTGCTCTGTCACCCAGGCTGGAGTGCAGTGGCACAATCCCAGCTCACTGCAACCTCCTAGTAGAGATGAGGGTTCACCATGTTGGCCAGGCTGGTCTTGAACTCCTGACCTCATGTGATCCACCCGCCTCGGCCTCCCAAAGTGCTGGGATTATAGGCATGAGCTCAGCCAAATGTACAGAAATGTTTCAAAGCTAGCACAGATAATTCTCAGGCACGCCCTCACCCGGTTCCGGTTTCCCCTAATGTTAACAGCTTACACCACTGTGGCACATTTGTCAAAACTGAGAAACCAACACTGACACATTGCTAGGAACTAAACTCTAGTCTTTATTTGGATTTCACCAGTTTTTCCTTTAATGACCTTTTTCTGTTCCGGGGTCCTGCATTGATGTTAATTACTTGGCTTCCGGATAGTACACCTACTTTTGCAGAATGTTTCATGTTTAATTTCAGCAAACCGTATTTATCTGAAGAGCTTAATTTACTCAAGTTCAGTCTTCTCAGACACACACCCTGGGGCTTTGACTGCAAAATGGTAACAACTGATCCCTCCCTCCCCCTTTGGTGAGGTGGCTTAGGCTTTAGGTGATGCTGAGAATTTGTGCATGATCTGGCTTGTAGGAGACTGAATTTCCTGAGAATGAATTAGGGACTCTCAGCATTTTAAAAAATATCCTGTTTTTGTTTTGTTGTTTTGTTTTGAGACAAAGTCTCACTCTATCACCCAGGCAGGAGTGCAGTAGCGCAATCTCAGCTCACCACAACCTCTGCCTCCTGGGTTCAAGTGATTCTCCTGGGTCAGCCTCCTGAGTAGCTGAGACTACAGGCACCTGCCACCATGCCCGGCTAATTTTTTTTTTTTTTTTAGTATTTTTAGTAGAGACGGGGTTTCGCTATGTTGGCCAGGCTGATCTTGAACTCCTGACCTTAAGTGATCAGCCCGCCTAGGCCTCCCTAAGCACTGGGATTACAGGCGTGAGCCAATGTGCCTGGCCAAAATATCCTCTTATTTATAGCTGACTTTGCACATCTGATATTCATGTGGGATAAGATAGCAAGCTGTACTTTTTCTGTTCTTTCTTTTTTTTTTTTCCATGAAAACAACCAGGATTTATGTGGTTCCAAGAGCCAGCTGGATAAAATATAGACCCATTCTGTTTTGTTGAATAAAGGTGATATGAGAAGAAAAAACCTCCAGGAACAGAGGAAGAAGTATAATTATGTTTGCCTCAGAGAAAACCGGGAGAGAAACCATTCATCTTCCATTCATTCGTCTTCCATTCCCAGACCTTGGAAGAGTAGTCACTGTAACATGGGGGCTAGAAGCATTGGCTTATGAAATAGACAGGCATAAGTAGGTTTTCAGCTCCACCACCTAGCTAGGTAACCTTGGACAAGTTGCTTAACCTCTTTGAGCCTCAGTTTCCTTGTCTCCAAAATGAGGGCTGAGCTTTGAATAAGATCCTGTATTTAACACAGCACATGACATAGAGAAAACACATATTTGTTACCTATTATTATTTCCAAAGACAGTCCACCCTAATTACCAACAGGCATTCCCAAACTCTTCTTAGTCTATCATTAATCTCATCCTTTCTTCTATCTTTAGATATTTGGTAGCCAAGGGCTGGGCGCAGTGGCTCACGCCTGTAATCCCAGCACTTTGGGAGGCTGAGGCGGGTGAATTACTTGAGGTCAGGAGTTGGAGACCATCCTGGCCAACATGGTGAAACCCCGTCTCTACTAAAAATACAAAAATTAGCTGGGCATGGTGTCGTGCACCTGTAATCCCAGCTATTCGGGAGACTGAGTTAGGAGAATCATTTGAACCTGAGGAGGCAGAGTTTGCAGTGAGCTGAGATCGCACCACTGCATTCCAGCCTGGGTAACAGAGTGAGTGAGACTCTGTCTAAAAAAAAAAGAAAAAAGGAATTTGGTAGGAAAGAAGTTTGACAGTTCCCAGAGGTCTACGTGAAACAGTAGGGTACTCATGTCTTCAAAATATGTCTAAGTATGTATAAAATTTGATCACTGGTCACAAGCAGAAATGGGGTCCACAAAGCAGGAAAAATGTCACAGCGATGAACCTTGGATAAGCTTTCTCCAGTTGCTCCCTCCTCCAAACTGGAAAGAAAATTTCCATCTGACCAATGAGTGGGCTGGACCTGGTCACAGGCTGCCAAGTATCTGCCCTGTTAGTGTGACCTGGAACAAAATTCCCAGCAGAGGACAGCAAACATTTGCTGAGCACACAGACCTGTGACCCTCCTACATGAAATTCTAGGGGCAGGGTTTGAATTACGCCATAACTGGGGCTTGGTGGCTTATGGGGAAGTGCTCTATACTAAACAAAGTGTGTGAGGCAGTCAGGCCTGGGAAAGAAGAGGTTGGCATCTACAATTTGAAAATGTGACTCTGCTGTTTTATTTTTATTTTCAGAGACACTGTCTTGCTCTGTTGCCTGGACTGGAGTGCAATGCTGCAATCATAGTTCACCATAACCTCAAACTCCTGGGCTCAAGTGATCCTCCCACCACAGCCTTCCAAGCACACTGCCATGCCCAGCTAATTAAAAACAATTTTTTTTTTTTTGGTAGAGATGGGAGTCTTGCTATGTTGCCCAGGCTGGTCATGATTTCCTGATCCCTAGTGATCCTCCTGCCTCAGCCTCCCAAACACACCACCACACCTAGCTAATTTTTTTCTTTTTTCTTTTGTTATTATTCAGCTCTCTTTATAACTGGCTTATTTTTATTATTTTTTGTAGAGAAGGGGTCTTGTTATGTTATCCAGCCTGGTCTTAAAATGTGACTCTGTTGTTTTATACAAAACACAATCATTTTCCATTTGAAAACAAGTTGTATTTTCCAGCATAAAATTCCAGATTTATAGACTATATTATAGTCCTTAGGACCCATAATGTGTTTCCAAAAAATACTTGCCAATGTCTGTACTTTCAGTGATCTGTAACCTCTTGGAGTAGTGGAGAGTTTAAGCAACTTGTCCAAGTTTACCTAGCTAGGATGTGGTGGAGCTGAAAACCTACCTTTGCCTGTCCACTTCATAAGCCAATGCTTCTAGCCCCCACATTACAGTGACTATTCTTCCAAGATCTGGGAACGGAAGATGAATGAATGGAAGATGAATGGTTTCTCTCCCAGTTTTCTCTGAGGCAAACATAATTATACCTCCTCCTTTGTTCTGGGAGGTTTTTCTCTTCTCATCTCCCCTCCATTCACCAAAACAGAGTTGGGTCTATATTTTACCCGGCTGGCTCTTGGAACTGCATAAATCCTGGCTGTTTTCATTTTTAAAAAATTATGAGATTAACTACCAAACTTGAGATGTAAGTTGTGGGTTAGCTCTCGATTCTGCTAGATAACCTGGAACAAAGCATTAACTTCTTTGAGAGCTTCCTTTTTTTTCCTTCATTGCTGTTGTGTGTTTCTACCAGAAAATGTGGGAATGTGCGTGAAGACGACCTAGCAGAGTGCCTGGCACACAGGAAGGAGCTTGTTGAATGTATAGTTCCGGGCTCCAAAACAAAGGCAGCCCATCTTAGCCTGAGCCACTCTGACTTCACTCTAGGAAATACTGCCTAGATATCTAAAGGAAAGTGATAGCAACTGCAACCAACTGTTTCTGAGGTCTGCCTGCCCACCAATGGCCCCCTCAGCACATGGGAACACGTGTGGAGGTGCCTGGAACAGACACTGACTCAGCGGGGTTCTGTACAGAGGCAGTGCGGGTGAAGAAATGAATGCAGATTCCCCAACAATCCAGAGGTATATGCAAGAGGAGGGGCAGGGGTTCTTTCAAGTCACCTTCCAGGTGACCAGGTGCCTTTACAACTCTAAGGCTCTGTGAGTATGTTTTTTTCTTACCTTATGGAATAAAGGGAAAAAGAAGACAGCTGCCCTGGGTATGGCTTTGGGTCGGAATAAACATTTCTCAAATTGAAGTGTTTCAGCAATGTCTTGAAAAATCAGATTTGTTCAGGATTGCTGGAAGTGCATTATTTGATTCTAAGTTTCACTTAAAAGTCTTGGGGAAGGCCAGGTATTGTGGCTCATGCCTGTAATCCCAGCACTTTTAGAGGCCAAGGCAGGCGGATCGCTTGAGCCTAGGCATTCAAGACCAGCCTAGGCAACGTGGTGAAACCCCGTCTCTACAAAAAATACAAGAATCAACTGGGCGTGGTGACACATGCCTGTAGTCCCAGCTACCGGGGAGGTTTGGGTGGGAAGAGGGAGGATGACTTGAGCCCAGAAGGCTGAGACTGCAGTGAGCTGAGATTGTACCACTGCACTCCAGCCTGGGCAACAGAGCAAGACACTGTCTCAAAAAAACAAAACAAAACAAAAAGTCTTGGGGAAAATCACTGAAAACACAGTTATCTTTCTTTTCTTTTCTTTTTCTTTCTTTCTTTTTTTTTTTTTTTGAGACAGAGTCTTGTTCTGTTGCTCAGGCTGGAATGTGGTGGCACGATCTCAGCTCACTGCAACCTCCGCCCCCCGGGTTCAAGTGATTCTCCTGCCTCAGCCTCCCTAGTAGCTGGAATTTCAGGTGCACGCCACCACGCCTGGCTAATTTTTGTATTTTTGTAGAGATGGGGTTTCACCAGGCTGATCTCAAACTCCTGACCTTAGGTGATCTGCCTGCCTCGGCCCCTCAAAGTGCTGGGATTACAGGCGTGAGCCACCGCACCCAGCCGAAAACACAGCTTTATAAAGGGATTCCTCTGGCCTGGTGCAGTGGCTCACACCTGTAATCCCATCACCTTGGGAGGCCAAGGCGAGTGGATCACCTGAGGTCAGGAGTTTGAGACCAGCCTGGCCGACATAGTGAAACCCCGTCTCTACTAAAAATACAAAAAATTAGCCAGGTGTGGTGGCGTGTGCCTGTAATCCCAGCTACTCAGGAGGCTGAGGAAGGAGAATCGCTTGAACCCGGGAGAGGGAGGTTGCAGTGAGCTGAGATCATGCCACTGCACTCCAGCCTGGGCAACAAGAGAGAAATCTGTCTCAAAAAAATAAATAAAAACTAAAGGGACTCCTCTAATCTTGACCAAGGGAGAAGGGAGTGTCCCACATTCTCTCAGGTACCAGCATGAGAGGGAGAACAATTTGGTTTTGTGCAGACTTAAGGTTCTCCTAAAATTCACCATCCTTCACCTGTGCTCTATCATTTGCATTCAATGCTTTTTTATTTGGTGTCCAGAAGCTGGGTCATGACAACTGCAATAAATTGATATTTCTAGCATCATGATCGTAACCACTGCCAGAAAACCTTGGATTTGGGGTCATGCATTCATCCTGAACGCTGATGCCTTTATCTTGCTCTCAGGGGACCAGAATCCAGAAGAGGAGAGAGACATGCAAATAGTTCCAATGCAGTGTAACTGTCACCATCCCTAAGTGGTGGTACTGAGGAAAGAGAAAGACACCTAACTCCCCAGGGCCATCAGGGAAGGCTTCGTAAAGGAGAGGATGTTCAAATAGGCTTTGAAGGATGAGTAGGAGTTTGCACAGAATTTAGCTTCTTTTCTTCATGCCTCTTTTCCCTGCCAAAGAAGCTAGAAGCCACCTGCACCTGAGATAGAATCTCAAAAAAGCAATAACAGTTCATCTAGTGCTAAAAATTACTTGAAACTAAAGAAAAAAATATATTCAGCCTTTAACACCTGCTACTGTCCCCAAGGCAGTATAAGAAGATCCTTCTAGATTTTTTTTCTTTTTTTTTTTTTTTTTTGAGACGGAGTCTCGCACTATTGCCCAGGCTGGAGTGCAGTGGCACAGTCTTGGCTCACTGCAACCTCTGCCTCTCAGGTTTAAGCGATTCTCCTGCCTCAGCCTCCCAAATAGCTGGGGTTACAGGCACCCACCACCACACCTGGCTAATTTTTTGTATTTTTAGTAGAGACGGGGTTTCACTATGTTGGCCAGGCTGGTTTCAAACTCCTGATCTCAGGTGATCCACCCGCCTCAGCCTCCCAAAGTGCTGGGATTACAGGCATGAGCCACCATGCCTGGCTGATCCTGCTAGATTTCTGTCTCTACTTATTTTAACTCTTGTCCTTTGTCTCTTTCCTGCCTTCACTCCAGCCCCTTCAAGACTCCCTTAATATTTCTCTTTTAACCAACTTTTTTTTTTTTTGAGATGGAGTCTCGCTCTGTTGCCCAGGCTGTAGTGCAGTGGTGTGATCTCAGCTCACTGCAACCTCCGCCTCCCAGGCTCAAGCGATTCTTGTGCCTCAGCCTCCCGAGTAGCTGGGATTACAGGCGCCCACCACCACGCCCGCCTAATTTTTGTACTTTTAGTAGAGACGGGGTTTCACCGTGTTGGCAACTCTGGTCTCGAACTCCTGACCTCAGGTGATCTGCCTGCCTTGGCCTCCCAAAGTGCTGGGATTACAGGCGTGAGTCACCTCACCTGACCTTAATAAACAACTTGTTTTAAAAATGGGAGGCAGGATGTGTGTATGTGTGTGTGTGTGTGTGTGTGAGAGAGAGAGAGAAAGAGAGAGAGAGAGAGAAAGAATATCCTTCCCCCACCTCTGCAATTGGCCTTAAATTTTACACACTCACCACCCCTACTTCCCTGCTTTGATGCTGTCCCTAAAGCAGTGGGAAAGAGCTTCAGGTCTCTGAGCTTGACCAGTGTTTCAGCTCTCCCTTGGAGTCCCGGGAAACGTATCTCTTGGGATCAGGAGCTGGGATGGAACCCAGGGCTCCTGAGATGGGACAAAGCTATGCTCTGTGCACCTGTCTTGCCTCCTCACTTTGTACAATGAGGTAGGCAACCTTTTGTATTTCCTCTTGTTTTCTTTCCTCACCCCACTTGGCGTGGCAGCCATAAATCCAGTTTCCTCCTTGGCATTTCTTAAATGTGTTCTGCCTGAATTAAAAACTGAAAGGGGGGAGGCCCAGTAGACCTTGAAATGTTCAGCTTGCTTTCTGTCCTTGGCCACTGGCTTGACAGGTCCCACAAGCTCTCCTGGGAGAGTGAGCAGCTGACGAAATCCCAGAGGCCCTGAAACCTCCCTTCCAGTAAGTGCCCATGTTTGCATATCCTGGTTCAAGAATAGGAACTGCTTGATGGAAACTGATCAGGGAGCTAAAATTACTGATTAAGTGGATTTGCTTCCAGCTGCAGGCAGTGGCCTTCCTGAGAAAGAGGGAATCTGTAGGGCTGTTTTTACAGATTAAGATCTGCCTTGTTTGTTCACTTTCTATTTCTAAAAGTTCTTGGAACCCTTTTCTAGGAAGAAGCCAGGTAAAGTCAGAGTAGGGAAAAACAGTAAGCCTTGTTTTTGTCCTCTATACTTTAAAGCTTCCTTTATTTTCAAAGAGACATACATGAGATATCTGAAATAAGTCAGCTTTAGGAAGGATAGCTAACGAATGTTGGATGTATGCTAGGCACTGTGTGAGCACTTGGCATCCATTCTCTCTTTGGTTCCCGCAAGTTAGGAATTGGCCCCTTTTCTCAGAGGAGAATGAGGCCCTGTGAGGTTAAGCTGATGACCATGAAATTGTCAGTGGTGGAACTGGGATCTTATTATTATTATTATTTTGAGACAAGGTCTCACTCTGTCGCCCAGGCTGGAGTGCAGTGGTGTGATCACAGCTCACTGCAGCCTCTACTTCCCAGGCTCACGTGATCTTCCCACCTCAGCCTCCCAGGCAGCTGGGACTACAGGTGTAAACCACCATGCCCTGCTAATGGAACTGGGATTCAAATCTAGATTCCTTGCCCCGTGTCCTGGAGGTTGCCCAGGCATGGAAAAGATCCAGGCCTGGTCCACTGCTTTTAGACACTTCTCAGGCAACCCCCTCTTTCAGTAATTTGCGTTTGATTAGATAGAAACTGAAAACTCATGTCAAGGTGTCTGAAACCAGCAAAAGAATGTTTTTTCATCTTTGTCCCCATTCCTTGGTTGGAGGGGGTGCTGGGTGACATTTGCTGTGCAAACAATAGCCCAGAAGCCGGGCAGAGTCCACACCTAGCTGAGTAAATAGCACCTGAAGGCCCTGGCAGGGCATGCAAGCTCCCCAGGGGTGCCTTGCTTTGAGAGACAACCATGAGAATGTGCCCTTGGACTGGAAGCCAGGAATCCAGAGCTGTAGTCCTAGTTCTACTGTTATTAACACTTGCACCTCTCTGTTCCTCATCTTTGAAGTGAAGAAAACCAAGTTGATGATGTTTGAGGCCTGAGGCTGCAGGGGTCAGTTTGACTTAGGCAGTGCAGCCTGGTGGTTAGGCACACACAGAGTAGAATCCAGTTGCCTGGGGTCCAGTATGAGCTTCATGGCTGGACAAGGTGGCTCATACCTGTAATCCCAGCACTTTTGGAGGTCAAAGTGGAAGACCAGAGTGGACAACAGAGCAAAACCTCATTTCTACAAAAAATAAATAATTAGCTGGGCAGGGTGGTGTGCACTTGTAGTCCCAGCTACTTGGGAGGCTGAAGTGGGATGGGAGGATTACTTGAGCCCAGGAGTTCAAGACTACAGTGAGCTATGATCACACCACTGCACTCCAGCCTGAGTGACAGAGCAAGGTCCCGTCTCTTTTTAAAATTTTTTTCTGAGACAGAGTCTTGCTCTGTTGCCCAGGCTGGAGTGCAGTGACACAATCTCATCTCACTGGAACCAGGTTCAAGTGATTATCCTGCCTCAGCCCCCTGAGTAGCTGGGACTACAGGCAAGCACCACCACAACCGGCTAATTTTTGTATTTTTAGTAGAGATGGGGTTTCACCATGTTGACCAGGCCAGTCTCAAACCTCAAATGATCTTCCCACCTCGGCCTCCCAAAGTGCTGGGATTACAGGTGTGAGCCACCGCACCCAGCCAAGACCCTGTCTCTTAAAAACAAACAAAAATGGCCAGTGCAGTGGCTCACGCCTGTAGTCCCAGCATTTTAGGAGGCTGAGGTGGGCAGATCACCTGAGGTCAGGAGTTCGAGACCAGCCTGAACAACATGGAGAAATCCCGTCTCTACTAAAAATACAAAATTAGCCAGGCGTGGCGGCAGGCACCTGTAACCCCAGCTACTTGGGGGGCTGAGGCAGGAGAATCACTTGAACTCAGGAGACAGAGGTTGCGGTGAGCTGAGATCGCGCCATTGCACTCCAGCCTGGGCAACAAGAGTGAAACTCCGTCTCAAAAACAACAACAACAACAACAAAAAACTGCTTTGGGCTGGGCATGGTGGCTCACACTTGTAATCTCAGCACTTTGGGAGGGAGGCAGCCTGGGCTCAAGTGATCCTCCCATGTCGGCCTCCCAAATGTGAGCCATTGTGCCTGGCCCCAAATACCACATTTTTAAACAAAGAAAGATCAATACTCTTGGTGTTTCCTTTTGCTGCAGGGTCTGATGTGGTGTGTACAGCACTGCTGTCCTGAGTCCCTTGGGGGCCTCTGTATTAGACGTGGCATCACATGCCCCCAGCTAGTGTTCATCATTATCTCTCATGTGTGGTTTCTCCTTCCCCTTCCCATCAAGACCTTCCATGGGGACCAATTGGCCTGTGTGCCCAGGACTGAGGGGTTTCCTGGGATGGGGGATTTTCAGTGCTTAAACTGGGACAGTTCCAGCAAAGCAGGATGGTTTGTCACCTGATTAGAGAAAAAAGCAGGGACTGGAATTTTTTTTTTCTTTTTTCTTTCTTTCTTTTTTTTTTTTGAGACAGGATCTCATTCTCGCCTATGCTGGAGTGCAGTGGTGTGATCATGGCTCACTGCAGCCTCCACCTCTCAGGCTCATATGATCCTCCTGCCTCAGCCTCCCAAGTAGCTGGGACAACAGACATGTACCACCATGCCCAGCTAATAGGGACTGTATCTTATGTATGAACCTTTGTAACTCTCAAGCCACTTGATAGCCCTCAGTAACTATTATTGGCCAAATTTGTCCTTTTTGGCAGAGCACCTGGCAGGGACTCAGTACATCCCTAATCAGTTGCTCATCTGAGGCACAGAAAGGTTAAAAGTGATGCAGCCAGGACCTGCTGGCAAATCCCCATGGCTCCAGCACCAGGCCTGTCTGGCTCCTGAACCTCTGACCTACTGCTGCTCATCCATATCTATCTCCTGAGACCTCGAGACATGAATCCACCTTGGGTAACCTGTAAAGACTTATTTGCCTAAAACCTGCCCAGGAGTCTTAATGTCCCCATCCCGTTTTAATAGATGAACACTTTGCTTTTGGAAACTTTCTGTTCCTTGGATATTGATGGTCATATTGCTTCTGGAATCATTACAGTGTGCCTTCAGCCAAAAGCAGAACTGGAAACATCCTAAGTGGGCCGGTAACGAGGCTAGCTCTGTCGACTAGTTCAAGACCCCTGAGCGCTTTGGGCCTGAGGTTCCTCAGCTTCCAAGTGAAAGGCTTCGACTTGGCATTCTAAGAGACAATCTCTGTGACCATCAGTTTCCTCATCTGTAAAACTGGCATCATGATAACTTTGAAGGTAATTGTGAAGATTAAAGGGAGTCATGCATGTAAACCACCTTGCATAGTCCCTTGTGGGAGTTCTTGGTTTTTTGTTTTTTTGGGGTTTTTTGGTTTGTTTGTTTGTTTTGAAACAGAGTCTTGCTCTGTCGCCCAGACTGGAGTGCAGTGGTGCAATCTCGGCTCACTGCAGCCTCCACCTCCCTGATTCAAATGATTCTTGCACCTCAGCCTCCCGAGTAGCTGGGATTACAGGCGCCTGCCACCATGCCCAGCTAATTTTTGTATTTTTAGTAGAGACAGAGTTTCGCCCTGTTGGCCAGGCTGGTCTCAAACTCCTGGCCTCAAGTGATCCACCTGCCTCGGCCTCACAAAGTGCTAGGATTACAGGTGTAAGTCACCTTGCCCGCCCGGGAGTTCATTTATTAGCTTGTTTTTCCTTCTCCTTCTCCTCTTAAGTCTAAACTGCAGTGATTTTATGATTCCACTTTTCGAGTCAGTGCCCCAGATGGTTTGCTCATTCATTCATTCACCCCAAAAAATGTTTATTGTTCACCTACTATGTGGCAAGCATCACACTAGGTACTGGGTGCTAAGCATATGGTGGTGGGCAAGAACCTCTCTAGAAAACATCAGAAATTGTCCAGCAATCCCCAGCAATGCAAAGAAAGACACAGCAAAAAAATGCATGATCAAATGCATCCAGAAGTCTGAAATTATAACTTTTATAATTGTTTCAAGTGAATTCTGAGTAGATGCTACTTAGCAGGTGGCCACAGTTCTCCCCAGTAGCTGCTGTTCCACTTAAGACACCTGCTGCTGTTTCCAGGATGCTAACATTTACTTTGGTCTTTATGTCAATGTCATTTGCAGAGAGAGCCAGCTGTGTGGCTTTTTCTCTTTCAACATTGCCACTGAATTGTGCTTTGTTGACAGAAATTAAACACTGCTCACGTAGATAGCATCAGGGCAGCCTTCAAGACTGGTTTGAACAGGAACCTTCTGCCCAAGATGAAGAGTAGACTCTATCTTGGGGTTAGGAATGTTTTCCTTCTTTGTGGCTTGATCATCTGGCCAAATTTTACTTTACCTAGTGCTGCTTTTGTTCCCCTGGCTTTCCTTCCTTGGAGCCCTTTTAAAATAATCCTTCTCTGCTTGTGGGATTTTACCAGACAGTAAAGAACTGATGAACCATAAAAAGAAAAGGTTAGACAGACAGCAGATTAGTGGTTGCCAGGTGCTGGGGGTGGGGAGAATGCTGAGTGCTTCACAGGAATGAGGACTCCTTTGCGGGTAATGAAAATGTTTTGGAACTAGACAGAAGTGGTGGTTGTGCCGAATTGCAAATGTACTAAATGCCACCGAATTTTTCACTTTACAACAATTTCTTTTATGTTACATGCATTTCCCCTTAGTTACACACACACACACACACACACACACACTCACACAAACTAAACTAAACTAAACTAATTATATTAAATGAGAGAAGCCAGGTACAAGAGTACAATCTATAAGCCTAGGTATATGAGGTTTGAGAACAGGCTAGAGTACACTATGGTGATAGAAATTAGAACAGTGGGACGGGTGTAGTGGCTCACACCTGTAATCCCAGCACTTTGGGAGGCCAAGGCGGGTGGATAACCTGAGGTCAAGAGTTTGACACTAGCCTGGCCAACACAGTGAAACAGTGTTCTCTACTAAAAATAACAAAAATTAGCTGGGCGTGGTGGTGTGCGCCTATAGTCCCAGCTACTCAGGGGGCTGAGGCAGGAGAATCACTTGAACCCGGGAGACAGAGGTTGCAGTGACCCGAGATCACATCACTGTACTCCAGCCTGCGTAACAGAGTGAGACTCCATCTCAAAATAAATAAATAAATAAATAAATAAATAAAGGCTATTGGTCAAATATGAATTTCAAAGAAACAAATTACTTTTAGTATAAGTATATCCGACATATTGCATTGTTCATCTGAAAATCTGAAATTCAAATTTAACCAGACATTTTGTATTTTTACTTATTAAATCTGGCAACCCTATGTTTGAGACATTATAGAAAGTCCTTTTGTCATTAAGGGATAAAATAGGGTGATCTATCTGGTAAAAAGAGAACAGATCACTGTCTATCACTTGGTTCCCTAGAACCCTCACCTGTGTAGTTAAATTTGAAGTCTGGAAAAATTGAACCTAAGAAGCTCCAGATTTAGGTACCCCAGGCATGGCAGGGAATTGAGATAAGACTCAGAACTAAGAACTTTTATTGAAAGTCTGCATAATAAGGCTGGGTGCAGTGGCTCACACCTGTAATCCCAGCACTTAGGGAGGCTGAGGCGGGAGGATCGCTTGAGCCCAGGAGTTCAAGACCAGCCTGGGCAACATGGTGAGACCTTGTCTCTAAAAAAAATTTAAAAATTACCTGGGCATGGCGGCGCACCTGTAGTCCCAGGTACTTGGGAGGTTGAGGTGGGAGGATCACTTAAGCCCGGGAGGGAGAGGTTGCAGTGAGTCAAGATTGCGCCACTGGCGCCACTGTACTCCAGCCTGGGTGACAAAGCGAGACTCCGTCTCAAAAAAAAATAAAAAATAAAAAAGGATTGTGTCACTGCACTCCAGCCTGGGCAACAGAGCCAGACTCTGTCTCAATAAACAAACAAACAAACAAAAAAACACAAAGACTTCCAGTCCCCTTCATTTCTCCTACTCCCAGAAAGTTTGTGCCCAGACAGGAGATTGTAGGTTCTTCTCTAGAAAAACTGAGTTGTCTCAGATAAATGATCCCACACACTCTCATTTTGGGAGTCATCAAAGGAAAAGGCAAGTTTCCCCTTGATCATTTTGCAGGAAAAACCAAGCAATTAATAAGTCCTTCATATATAAATAGAGAACTTCCCATCAGATTCCTATTTCCCTCATTCTCAACTTGGCCAAACACACTAATCAAGTGTCAGGATAAAATAAAGATTTTCTTTAGGGCCTGTGTGATGGCTCAAGCCTGTAATCCTTGCACTTTGAGAGGCTGAGGTGCGAGGATCACTTGAGTCTAGGAGTTCGAGACCAGTCTGAGCTGATCACAGTGAGACCTCATTTCTACAAAAAATAATAAAATTAGCTGGGCATGATGGTGTGCACCTGTAATCCCAGCTACTTGGGAGGCTGAGCTGGGAGGATTGCTTGAGTCCAGGAGGTCAAGGCTGCAGTGAGCCATGATCACTACACTCTAGCCTGGGTGACAGAGCGAGACTCCAACTCACCAAAAAAAAAAAAAAAAAAAAAAGACATCCGCAGATGCATTTTTTAATAAAAATAGCAATAGGTATGTATTTAAAAAGTAAAGAAATGAAGAAAATGAGGCAGGTTAAACAGGCTTGGTGTGGTGGCTCACACCTGTAATTCCAGCACTTTGGGAGGCTGAGGTGGGAGGATTGGTTGAGGCCAGGAGTTTGAGACCAGCCTGGGCAACACAATAAGATCCCCCCGACCCACCCCCGGCCCCCATCTCTATTTTTAAAAAAAGTTACAGGAAAAACGAAAAGTTATAAAAGAATGAAAGTGTAATCATCATATACTATGTGTCTCAGCTATGAATAATAATTACATAATCACAATAGTGTGCACGCTGTAAACATTTAATAAAAATAGTGACAAAATATATTAGGAGAAGGGGGAAGGTGGGAGTGGTGGTAAAAAGAAAATTCATCACTCATTTGGAAATCAATGAATAAAGTCAAAAACTGATAAATCAAGATAAAGCAAAGTAGACATTATTTAGAATGGTGGCAGCCAGATGCGGTGGCTCACAATTGTAATCCAGGACTTTGGGAGGCCGAGGCAGGCAGATCGCCTGAGGTCAGGAGTTCAAGACCAGCCTGACCAATATGGAGAAACACCGTCTCTACTAAAAATACAAAATTAGCCAGCCGTGTAGCCATATGTAGAAAGCTGACATGGATCCCTTCCTTACACCTTATGCAAAAATTAATTCTAGATGGATTAAAGACTTAAATGTTAGACCTAAAACCATAAAAACCCTAGAAGAAAACCTAGGCAATACCATTCAGGACATAGGCATGGGCAAGGACTTCATGTCTAAAACACCAAAAGCAATGGCAACAAAAGCCAAAATTGACAAATGGGATCTAATTAAACTAAAGAGCTTCTGCACAGCAAAAGAAACGATCATCAGAGTGAACAGGCAACCTACAGAATGGGAGAAAATTTTTACAATCTACCCATCTGAAAAAGGGCTAGTATCCAGAATCTACAAATAACTTAAACAAATTTACAAGAAAAAATCAAACAACCCCATCAAAAAGTGGGCGAAGGATATGAACAGACACTTCCCAAAAGAAGACATTTATGCAGTCAACAGACACATGAAAAAATGCTCATCACTGGCCATCAGAGAAATGCAAATCAAAACCACAATGAGATACCATCTCACACCAGTTAGAATGGCAATCATTAAAAAGTCAGGAAACAACAGGTGCTGGAGAGGATGTGGAGAAATAGGAACACGTTTACACGGTTGGTGGGACTGTAAACTAGTTCAACCATTGTGGAAGACAGTGTGGCGATTCCTCAGGGATCTACAACTAGAAATACCATTTGACCCAGCCATCCCATTACTGGGTATATACCCAAAGGATTATAAATCATGGAATTAGAATGATCAAATTACTTGGCTACTGAACTATTTTGCATGCTTATTTCTTATTTAGGAAAACTGGGGTTAGTTTTGGGGCTCAGAACACCAAGAGGGAGGAGGCAGGAGAGAAATGGCAGGATTGGGGGAAGAGTTGTCCCAAGCAGGGGACATTCTCCTCCACCTTCTCCACTGTCTCTAAGTCCTGCAGCTGCCTAGAGGAACCACAGTACTAGGGCCAGCCTCTTTTCTTGCTACCCTTTGCCATTTGAGGTTACGGATTCCAGGCACCACACAGCGGCACCCTCCAAAATTCTTCTGCTCCTCGCCCCCTTATCTCTGGGAATCTTTCGGGCACTGCTTCCTGAACCTAGTGAGCGGTCACGCTTGCTCTCAGATGCTCATCCTTGGCTTCTGATCTGACTCTTGCCCAACACTTACTTTCCTTTTTTTTTTTTTTTTTCTTTTTCTTGAGATGGAGGCTTGCTCTGTTGCCCAGGCTGGAGTGCAGTGGCGTGATCTCAGCTCACTGCAACCTCTGCCTCCCGGGTTCAAGCAGTTCTCCTGCCTCAGTCTCCCGAGTAGCTTGGATTACAGACACCTGCCACCACTTCCAGCTAATTTTTGTATTTTTAGTAGAAACAGTGTTTCTCCATGTTGGCTTGGCTGGTCTCAAACTCCTGACCTCAGGTGATCCACTTACCTTGGCCTCCCAAAGTGCTAGGATTACAGGCGTGAGCCATTGCGCCTGGCCCAACACACCTCATCTTTTATGTATGTATGTACTTATTTATTTTTATTTAGTTATTTTGAGACGGAGTCTCACTCTGTTGCCCAGTCTGGAGTGCCATGGCACCATCTCGGTTCACTGCAGCCTCCGCCTCCCAGGTTCAAACGATTCTTCTGCCTCAGCCTCCCCAGTAGCTGGTATTACAGGCGTGTGCCACCACACTCAGCTAATTTTGGTATTTTTAGTGGAGACAGGGTTTCACCATGTTGGCCAGGCTGGTCTTCAGCTCCTGATCTCAAGTGATCCGCCCACCTTGGCCTTCCAAAGTGCTAGGTTTACAGGCCTGAGCCACCGCACCTGGTCTTATTTATTACTTTTTTTTACACTTCATCTTTTAAGTGCAAAAGAAGACTGTATTCATTTGAGATTCCTCTTCCCAGATTCATCCCTATCCACTTTAGGACATCCTCAGACCCTAGTAGATCTGAGCTTTCTCAGCCAACCCCTCAGTTGTGCCACTGTCTGCAATGCACTAAACGTCTTTTCCTTTCACTTTCTCTAGAACCAACTAGAGACATATTTGTCTATGTATGTACCCCACGTATTTGTACCTTCCTAATGGTCCAATTGTTTAACAATTAATGTCGATATTTCCCCTAGGAAATTCTTACTGACTCTAAACTTCCTTGACATCTATATATATATATATATATATATATATATATATATATATTTCTTTTTTTTTTGAGACGGAGTTTTGCTCTTGTTGCCCAGGCTGGAATGCAATGGCGCGATCTGGCCTCACTGCAACCTCCACCTCCTGGGATCAAGTGATTCTCGTGCCTCAGCCTCCCAAATAGCTGGGATTACAGGCATGCGCGACCGTGCCCAGCTAATTTTGTGTTTTTATTAGAAACAGGGTTTCATCATGTTGGTCAGGCCGTTTTTGAACTCTTGACCTCAAGTGATCCACCTGCCTTAGCCTCCCAAAGTGCTGGGATTACAGGCATGAGCCACCGCGCCTGGCCGACTTTACAATATTTTTATCAACAGTGTTTTATTTTACTGTTAAAAAATAGCTTCTAATAATGTAAATATAATTTTTTTTGATGGAGTCTTGTTCTATTGCCCAGGCTGGAGTGCAGTGGTGCCATCACAGTGCACTGCAACCTCTGCCTCCTGGATTCAAGCAATTTTCCTGCCTCAGCCTCCTGAGTAGCTGGGATTACAGGCGCCCGCCACCACGCCCAGCTAATTTTTGTATTTTTAGTAGAAACAGGATTTCGCCATGTTGGCCAGGCTAGTCTCAAACTCCTGACCTCAGGTGATCCGCCCCCCTTGGCTTCCCAAAGTGCTGGGATTACAGGTGTAAGCCACCGCGCCCAGCCTTTTTTTTTTTTGAGATGGAGTCTCGCTCTGTTGCCCAGGCTGGAGTTCAACGGCATAATCTCTGCTCACTGTAACCTCCGCCTCCTGGGTTCAGGCAATTCTACTGCCTCAGTTTCCTGATTAGCTGGGATTACAGGCACCTGCCACCACGCCCGGATAATTTTTGTATTTTTAGTAGAGATGGGGTTTCATCATGCTGGCCAGGCTGGTCTCGAACTCCCAATTTCAGGCAATCTGCCCGCCCCGGCCTCCCAAAGTGTTCGGATTACAGGCGTCAGCCACCGTGCCTGGCCTTGGATCCACTTTTTATGAGAAGCTGGTATTTTTACCAATCCCAGGTTTTTGCAATTCACAATCCCACTTTTTAAAAGTGGGGAGGGGAAATGTGTCCAAAGCTAGGTCAATTTTTGCCAAGAAAGAATATTTGGCGAGAAGCGATCATCTATTACCATTCAAAAGAGTAGGAAGAACATGATCTCAGAATATTGGATGGACTTTTAAATTTAGTACATTACGTTTTTTGAAAAATGCCCTACATTGTGCTTATTTTTCTCATTTGTCTGTTTTCATGTGGTTTGGCCCCTGGGAGCCAAGAGGCCAATGCGGTTGGCGATGGCACCGCAAAGAGCTGCAGGGCCATCTAGTGGCCAATTGTCTTCACTGCACATGCGATGATGGTTCTATTCAGCAGTTCCCCAAAACAAAACCCCGTAACCCACACCCAGGTTGATCCCAGTGAGGATCAACTTTTGCCACTTTCAAACATTTGTAAAATGTTTGACATTTGTTTTGTAAACATTCCTTCAGCTTTGCACTTAAAAGGATTGCCTCACTATAAATCTGAAGATTAGCTTTCCAGCCATTGAACGGTGATTTTGAGCCACTGTTTGCCAAATCAGACAGGCCTGAGTTAGTGCTTGCTGTTGGGTGACTGGGCAAGTTACATAATCTTCCTGACTTTCCATTTCCTCTTGTGTAGCAAAGACAGGACTGTTCTGAAGATGAAGGCAAGTGTGCATGTCATGTATGTGCTACTGTTCCTGACAAATAAGTGTTTGCTACTGATTTAACACCTCTAGAAACAAAGTCCAGTCAAGGGACAGAAACCTAATCAAACAGGCTGAAGCGAAGGCTTGCTATACGAAACCTGAGCAGCCGAGTGCAGTGACTGACGCCTGTAATCCAAACACTTTGGGAGGCCAACACAGAAGGTTCACTTGAAGCCAGGAGTTCAAAACCAGCCTGGTCAACATGGAGAGACCCCCATCTCTACAAAAATTTTAAAAAATTAGCCGGGTGCTCTGGCATGCATCTGTAGTCCCAGCTGTTCAGGAGGCTGAGGCAGAGGATCTCTTGAACCCAAGAATTAGAGGCTGCAATGAGCTGTGATTACAGCACCATGCTCCAGCCTGGGTAATAGACCGAGACCCTGTTTAAAAGAAAGAGAGGCCAGGCGCACTGCTCATGCCTGTAATCCCAGCACTTTGAGAGGCCAAGGCAGGTGGATGGCTTGAGCCCAGGGGTGTTAGACCAGCTTGGGCAACATGGTGAAACCCTGTCTCTACAAAAAATAAAAAAAAATTACAGGCATATTAGCCCGGGCCTCTGATCCCAGCTACTCAGGAGGATGAGCTGGGAGGATCACTGGAGCCTGGGAGTCAGATGTTGCAGTGAGCTGAGATCGTGCAATTGCGCTCCAGCTTGGGTAATGGGAGTGAAATCCTATCTCAAATAAAAAGGCAAAGCACATTTTTATTAAACCAGAGAAACATCACAGACATAAAACAGTAAAATAGATTATTCTCAGATTAAGCTTGGTGAAGACATATCCAAGTTCACATTTTTCTCTAATTCTTTCCCATCATCATACTGGTCCAACCCTATCCTCAGATTTTGCTTAGAATACTTCTTTATGGGCTGGTCACAGTGGCTCATGCCTGTATTCCCAGCACTTTGGGAGGTCAAGAAGGAAAGATCGCTTAAGTCAGGAGTTTGAGACCAGCCTGGGTAACATGATGAGACCCCATCTCTACTAAAATTAGAAGAAAAAAAATCCAGTCATGGTGGTGCACTCCTGTAATCCCAGCACTCATGCAGCTGAGGCAGAAGGATCATTTGAGCCCAGAGGTTCAAGGCTACGATTAGGCCACTGCAGTGCAGCCTGGGGACAAAGTGAAACCCTGTCTCTCTAAAAAAAAAAAACAAAACTCAAAGAATATTTTTCTGAGGTGGGTGCTGTTGTCTCTGTGGTGGGTGCTATTGTCTCTCTGGTGGGTGGTGTCTCTGCAGTGGGTGCTGTTGTCTCTGAGGTGGGTGCTGTTGTCTCTGTGGTGGGTGTTGTCTCTGAGTGGGTGCTGTTGTCTCTCTGGTGGGTGTTGTTGTTTCTGAGGTGGGAGCTGTTTTCTCTCTGGTGGGTGTTGTTGTCTCTGAGGTGGATGCTGTTGTCTCTGTGGTGGGTGTTGTCTCTGAGGTGGGTGCTGGTGTCTCTGGTGGGTGCTGTTGTCTCTGTGGTGGGTGTTGTCTCTGAGGTGGGTGCTGGTGTCTCTGTGGTGGGTGTTGTTGTGTCTGAGGTGGGTGTTGGTGTCTCTGAGGTGCGTGTTGTTGTCTCTGTGGTGGGTGCTGTTGTCTCTGGTGGGTGTTGTTGTCTCTGAGTTGGGTGCTGGTGTCTCTGTGGTGGGTGTTGTTGTCTCTGGTGGGTGCTGGTGTCTCTGTGGTGGGTACAGTTGTCTCTGGTGGGTGTCTGAGAGGTTACACACACAGCCGGGGTGGCCCAAGGCCAGTGACTGGCTAATGGGGTGCTGCATAAAAGCCAGCCCCTGACCTCAAGGTGGGGCCAACACTGCAGCGCTCCCCTTGGAATCAGGCTGTGGTCAGACCTCTCCTGAAAGCACATGTTTGCTCAGCTCCCTCCCTGGCGCTGTTCCGCTTTCCTCACTTCCTTGCAGGTTTCTCCCTAGGGCCTCCCTCAATAAATCAATTGCATGGGAATTCCTGCCTCAGTCTCTGCTTCTGGGAGCCCAGCCTAAGCCTTTAAGAGTGGGTTCCCACTGTGAGCCGTCGTAATCTGGAGTAGGGTTGTGGAGTTTGACAGCTAGGGAAGAACTGGAGGTGATGATGCTAGCTGGGGCCATCCAGGAAGGGTATCAATAGAGTCCTGTGAAGAAACACATCTTAGAGGGGAAGCAAAGTTTGATGTTACCTCTGTCTCACTCTAAAGCTTGGATTTGTAACCATGACCTTGTACTATTCTTCACTCTCTGCTTATAATATTTTTTGTTTCTGTTTTTGATAGAGTGTCTTGCTTTGTCACCCAGGCTGGATTGCAGTGTTGTGAACATGGCTCACTGCAGCCTCCACCTCCCAGGCTCAAGTGAACACCTCAGCCCCCAAGAAGCTGGGACTACAAGCATGCACCACCACACCCTGCCAAGTTTTGTATCTTTTGTAGAGACAGGGTTTGGTTATGTTCCCCAGGCTGGCCTTAAACTCCTGAGCTCAAGCAATCCGCCTGCCTCAGCCCCCCGAAGTGCTGGGATTACAAGCGTGAGCCACCATGCCCAGCCTGTAAAGTTGTTACAGTTTTAAACCGAGACTTTTCAAAAAATCATAAGAAGGCCTGGTGCGGTGGCTCACACCTGTAATCCCAGCACTTTGGGAGGCCGAGAGGCAGGTGGATCACCTGAGGTCAGGAGTTCCAGACCAGCCTGGCCAACATGGTGAAACCCCATCTCTAGTAAAAATACAATTAGTCGGTCGTGGTGGTGGTGCCTATAATCCCAGCTACTTGGGAGGCTGAGGCAGGAGAATTGGTTGAAGCCAGGAGATGGAGGTTGCAGTGAACTGAGACTGTGCCACTGCACTCAAGCCTAGATGACAGAGCGAGACTCTGTCTAAAAAAAAAAAAAATTCATAAGAACATCTTCCTTCATTAACATAGCTTCTAAGGTGTGGGCAAGGCCAGTGTTCTGTGCCCAAGAAAGTCTGCTGGGCACACTGTGACCTTCACTGAGTCTGCTGAATCAGCCCACTTTGACTCAGCCCAGATATCAGAATAGCAGGGCAGTGGGGATGGTGTTGGGATAACAGCTTAGTTATATGGGAAAAAAAATAGGAATGGTTTGCTCCATCACATCAAACTGTAAATAAATTTCAGATGCATCCAAGCACTATATGTAAAAATGAAATGAGGCCAGTGGGGTGGGTCCTGCCTGTTATTCCAGCACTTTAGGAGGCTGAGGTGGGAGGATCACTTGAGCCCAGGAGTTGAAGACCAACTTGGGCAACATGACAAAACCCCATCCCTACAAAAAAATTTAAAAAATTAGCTGGGCATGGTGGCATGTGCCTGTAATTCCAGTTACTTGGGAGTCTGAGGTAGGAGGAACGCTTGAGCCCAGCAGGTCAAGGCAATAGAGCAAGACCCTGTCTCAAAAAAAAAATAAAAAAGAGAAAGAAAGAAAGAAGAAGAAGGAAAGAAGGAAAGGAAAAAAGGAAGGAAGGAAGAAAGGAAGGAAGGAAGGAAGGAAGAAAGAAAAAGAAAGAGAAAAAGGGAAGGAAGGAAGAGAGAGAGAGAGAAGGAAGGAAGGAGAAAAAGAAAAGAAAAGAAAAAAGAGATGCAAAAGGTACCAATCAGGAGAAACATCATTTGCTTTGCATCAAAATTAAAAGCATCTGAATGAAAAGGCACATTATAAACAAAGTGAAAAGTGACAGCCTTGATTATTGGTAGTTGACAGTGACTGTTTCTGACCCACTCTGTGGTTCTCACTTATGAGTGTCTCATCCCTCAAGCCATTTCCTCCCCCGTCCCCACATCTGTATCTATGCCACCAATACCTGGATGAGACTAAGCGGTAGACCAGACCCCCAGTCTGGGTTCAAGCACTGGTGAGGCAGATGGACTCAGCTGGAATTATTTTCACTTTGCTTTTTTTTTTTTCACTTGTTTTTTAGAGATGGAGTCTTGCTCTTTCTCCCAGGCTAGAGTGCAGTGGCACAATCATAGCTCACTGCAGCTTTGAATTCCTGGCCTCAAGGGATCCCCTTGCCTCAGCCTCCTAAGTTGCTGGGATCACAGGTGTGAACCACCATGCCCAGTGTCATTGGCTTTTCTACAGGACCTGCCAAAGAGCTGTGTGAAGGAGATACCTTAGACCGAGCATACTTCCTGGCCCTGGGCACAGATCCTTGGTCCTCAGACGCGCACTTGAAGTCCGGCCTCAGCTGCCCACATGGGATGAGGAATGTGTCCCGTCAGAAAGGTCTAGATCTCTGGGGGCTACTGCCATTTATCCCTTTTATTCTGGGAGAAGGTCCATGTCAGCCACCACGAAGTAAGCGTAATGTCTGAGCCACAGGTTGAAAATTTCTTGCTGTGCCACAGTTACCAGTTACTTCTGCACTTTATTCCTCACTGTGCTATTAGATGTACTTGAGGTTTCAGTGCAGCAGGGCTGGCCTGGGCTACCATGGACAATACATAGTTTTTAAAATTATTATTATTTTTTAGGCCAGGCGCAGTGGCTCACGCCTGTAATCCCAGCACTTTGGGAGGCCCAGGTGGGCAGACCATTAGAGGTCAGGAGTTTGACCAGCCTGGCCAATGTGGTAAAACGCTGACTCTACTAAAAATACAAAAATTAGCCTGGTGTGGTGGCGAGTGCCTGTAGTCCCAGCTACTTGGGAGGCTGAGGCACGAGAATAGCTGGAACCTGGGAGGCGGAGGTTGCAGTGTGCTGAGATCACTCCACTGCACTCCAGCCTAGGCAACAGAGTGAGTAGTCTCAAAAAAATTATTATTGATATTTTTATTCAAATTTTTCTTTTGAGACGGTCTTTTAGTAGAGATGGGGTTTCGCCATGTTGGCCAGGTTGGTCTCAAACTCCTGACCTCAAGTGATCCGCCCAGCCAATATTTAATTTTTAATTGACAAAATTTGTCTATATTTATGGTACACAACATAATATTTTGAAATATGTATACATTGTGGGATGGCTAAATCAAGCTAATCAACATATGCTTGCCTAACATACTTATCTTTTGTGTGTGTGCGTGGTGAGAACACTTAAAATCTCTCTTAGTAATTTTCTTTTTTTTTTGAGACAGAGTCTCACGCTGTCACCCAGGCTGGAGTGCAGTGGTGCCTTCTCGGCTCACTGCAACCTCCACCTCCCGGGTTCAAGCGATTCTCGTGCCTCAGCCTCCCGAGTAGCTGGGACTACAGGCGCGTACCACAACGCCCGGCTAGTTTTTGTATTTTGAGTAGAGACGGGGTTTCACCATGTTGGCCAACCTGGTCTCGAACTCCTGGCCCCAAGGGATCCGCCCACTTTGGCCACCCAAAATGCTGGGATTACAGGTGTGAGCCACCATGCCTGGCCTCTCTTAGTAATTTGCAAGTATATGATACAATGTTATTAACTATAGTCACCATATTGTACAATAAGACTGTACTTAGGCTTCAAAAGTTGAAAAGCAGGATGAAGGAAGAAAACTGCCTCATGTCAACGTCTATCCACACCTCCACCCATCTAACGAATACTTACCAATCACCTACTCCACCAGATAGCACCAAATAGCCAAAACAAAAAGCCCAGCCTTTCAGTCAGGATGATTTTGTTTACCAGTGATGGAACCCTACTTTGTGTGTGTGTATGTGTGTGTGTGTGAGAGAGAGAAAGAGAGAGAGAGAGACCCATTTTATGTGGACACTTAAGGCCTGGGTGGAATGAGCTGGGTGGCAGGCAAGTAGAGGGTCGCAGGCCCATGCCTGACTCTGGGAGGGGATGCCAGGCAGTGGGGACTGGCCCAGGCAGGCCAAGGGGAGTGCTGGAAGGGTGGCCCAGGCAGCCAGACCCATTGGGGGAAACTGAAGGCCAGCCCTTGGGAAGGTATCTAAGCCAGGGGGTGCGGGGCCAGAGCCTGGCCCAGGGAAGCAGGGTTGGGGCCTGGTTGGGGGCTCCCAGAGCCTAGAGGCTGACATCGCTGGGGGCCTCCCGGAGCTGCTGCTGGAACTCAAGGCGTGTCTGCCGGTTGGATTCCAGCAGCTCCTGGAAGTGGGTGTGGAGGTGGTGGTTTTCCTCCAGCTGCTCCAGACGGGAGTTGATCTGGTCCAGCATGGAGTTGCTGGCAGGTATTTTGCTTCCTCGAAGCTATCATTCTTGCCTTCCACTCCTGCCTCCAACAGCATTCCCGGGTCCCTTTTGGGGTCTGACGTTGCAGTCTCAGGCTTGATCACATCAAGGGCCGTGAAACCATGGATGGAACACAGAAACCATCATGCTGAAAGCCCAACAGAACCCTACTTAAACAAGCTTTAAAAAAAAAAAAAGTTCATGAAGGCAGGCACAGTGGCTCACATCTGTAATCTCGGCACTTTGGGAGGCTGAGGTGGGAGGATCACTTAAGCCCACAAGTTTCAGACTAGCCTGGGCAACATAGTGAGACCCCGATCTCTAAAAAATAATAAATAATAATAATAATAAGTTAGCCAGGCCTCGTGGCACACACCTGTGGCCCTAGCTACTTGGGAGGCTGATGTGGGAGCATTGCTTAAGCCCAGGAGTTCAAGGCTGCAGTGAGCTATGATGGGACTCCTGCACTCCAGCCTGGATGACAGACCAAGACTCTGGCTAATGAGTCATATAACTAAAAAGTCTAGAGATGAACTTCAAGTACAAATGGATCCAGGAACTTAAAAGATATCACCAGGGGCCGGGCACCAGTGGCTCACACCTGCAATCCCAGCATCTTGGGAGGCTGAGGCAGGTGGATCACTTGAGGTCAGGAGTTCGAGACCAGCCTGGCCAACATGCAGAAACCCCATCTCTACTAAAAATACAAAAATTAGCTGGGCATGGTGACACACGCCTGTAATCCCAGCTACTCGGGAGGCTGAGACACAAGAAGCGCTTGAGCCTGGGAGGCGGAGGCTGCAGTGAGCCAAGATTGTGCCACTGCACCACTCCAACCTGGGTGACAGAGCTCCATCTCAAAAAAAAAAAAAAAAGATATCACTAGGGCTCCCCCAACTCCATCTTTATTTTCTTCCCTTTGTGCGTCAGCCTTGCTGTTGCCTGTTGCAGATGGCTTCCTCCACCTGGCCTGGGAAAATGGCAAGCAGCTCCACCTTACACTGTCCTTACAGCTTATGATCTTAGACGAAGTGAAGCCCCCTGTTTCCCAGTTTCCTTATATCAAGCCTCAGAGAAGTCTTTGATTGGTTCTACTGGGCTTACATACCCACGTCCTAAGCCAGTCTCTGTGGACATGGGGATGGGTGGTCTGACTGGCCAGCTTGAATCACAAGTCCAGCGGGATGGTGGTGGGAGAGGGACAGAGCACTATGATTGAGAGCTTCACCTGGACCACAGAAGGTGAGGACAGGTGGGCAGACAGGGGAGAACATGCCAGGCAGGGAAAATGATAGCTGTCCCTTCTAGAGCCTATAAGCCTTCCATATACTTCTGTTCCTGACCCCAGCTTCATTCCTTTGCTGCGCCCATCCATAGACTCTGTACACCCCATCTTCATATCCATTGTGTGTGTCAGATGAGGGTCTTGCTCTGTCACTCAGGTTGGAGTGCAGTGGCACAGTCTCAGTTCACTGCAACCTCCACCTCCCAGGCTGAAGCGATCCTCCCATCTCAGCCTCCCAAGCAGCTGGGACCACAGGCATGCACCACTACATCCGGCTAATTTTTTGTACTTTTTGTAGAGACAGGGTTTTGCCGTGTTGCCCAGGCTGGTCTTGAACTCTTGAGCTCAGGCTATCCACCCGCCTCGGCCTCCCAAACTGCTGGGATTACAGGCTTGAGCCACCACACCTGGCCCATTGTGTTTTATTGTTGGTTTCCTGCTAGGCTTGAAGCTCTGGCAGCGCAGGGGTGGTGCCTATCTCATTTACCACTAAGTCCCCAGGGTCTACAGGGCTGCGAGAATGAATGATAACAAAGACTGTATCCACACAGCCAAAGACTTAAAACAAGGGAAGGTAAATCTAAGCAACCACCAGTAGCATGATGAGGGCTGCAGTCAGGGCAGGGACACAAAGGAGAGAGTTGCAGTGCTGCCTGGGCAGGGGTCTGGGTCAGAAAACAGAAGGTGGCCAGGCGCAGTGGCTCAAGCCTTTAATCCTAGCAGTTTGGGAGGCCAAAGTGGGTGGATCGTTTGAGCCCAGGAGTTTGAGACCAGCCTGGGCAGCATGGCGAAACCCCATCTCTGCAAAAAATACAAAAAATTTGCTGGGCGTGGTGGATTGCACGTGTAGTCCCAGCTACTCAGGAGGCTGAGGCGGGAAGATCGCTTGGCCCTGGGAGGCCCAGGCTGCAGTGAGCCATGATCACACCATTGTATTCTAGCCTGGACGACAGAGTGAGACCCTGTATCAAAAAAAAAAAAAAAAAGAAAAAGAAAAGAAAGAGGAAGGGAAGGGGAGGGGAGGGGAGGGGAGTGGAGGAGGAAAAGAAAGAAAGGAAAGAGAGAGAGGAAAGAAAGAGAAAGAGAGAGAGAAAGAAAGAGAGAAAGAAAGACAGCTGGGTGCGGTGGCTCACGCCTGTCATCCCAGCACTTTGGGAGGCCAAGGCGGGAGGATCACGAGGTCAGGAGATCGAGACCATTCTGGCTAACACAGTGAAACCCCGTCTCTACTAAGAATACAAAAAAAAAAAAAATTAGCCGAGTGTGGTGGCGGGCGCCTTAGTCCCAGCTACTCAGGAGGCTGAGGCAGGAGAATGGCGTGAACCCAGGAGGCGGAGCTTTCAGTGAACAGAGATCACACCACAGCACTCCAGCCTGGGCAACAGAGCGAGACTCCATCTCGAAAAATAAAATAAGAAAGAAATGGCAGAAAGAAGGAAAGAAAGGAAGGAAGGAAGGAAGGAAACGTGGAAGAGACATTTCTGTTTCTTTCCTTTTTTTTTTCTTCTCCTGCCCAGCGCTTGGATGTCCCCCTTTCTCTGTTTATGGAGTTCCTTACTATATAATCTTGGAAGAGCCTGCTTCCCACTCCAGAAGCCAAAAACTCCAGATACCAGCTTGCCCCTGCCCCCAGGCAGCTAGGCTCAGCCACCCACCACATCACTATGAAGTAAGTCAGACAATACCTACTTCACAAAAGTCACTTTGATGGTTAAATGGAGTTTAAAAAGCATGCAGCTCAGGCCTGGACATCTACTCGACCCTTAATAGTTGTTGCTCCCTCCTCGACCCTGGGCAGTGGGTGGGAGGGAGAAGAGCACAGGATGGTCAGTGTCTGACTTTGACCGTTGGACTGCAGACACTATAGGGGGAGGAGTTTAGAAGTCCTTTTTGTTTGTTTGTTTTGTTTTTTTGTTTTATTTGTCTTTAAGACAGGGTCGGCCAGGTGCAGCGGCTCATGCCTGTAATCCCAGCACTTTGGGAGGCTGAGGCAGGTGGATCACCTGAGGTCAGGAGTTTGAGACCAGCCTGGCCAACATGGTAAAACTCCGTCTCTGCTAAAAATACAAAAATAGCTGGGCGTGGTGGTGCACATCTATAATCCCAGTTACTTGGGAGGCCCAGTTACTTGGGAGGAGAATTGCTTGAACCCAGGAGGTGGAGGTTGCAGTGAGCCGAGATGGCACCACTGCACTCCAGCCTGGGTGACAGAGTGAAACTCCATCTCAAAAAAAAAAAAAAAAAAAAAAAAGAGAGAGAAACAGGGTCTCCCTATGTTGCCCAGGCTGGTTTCGAACTCCTGGCTTCAAGTGATCCTCCTGCATCAGTCTCCCAAGGATGACAGCCGTGAGCTGCCATGCCCAGCCAAGGTCCTTTTATCTAAAAATTGAATATGCTGTATTGTAGTCATGAGAATGCACCACTTGGCCAGGCAAGGTGGCTCATGCCTGTAATCCCAGCACTTTGGGAGGCCGAGGTGGGTGGATCACCTGAGGTCAGGAGTTCCAGATCAGCCCGGACAACATGGCGAAACCCCGTCTCTACTAAAAATACAATAATTAGGCGGGCATGGTGGCGGGTGCCTGTAATCACAGCTACTTGGGGGGCTGAGGATGGAGAATTGCTTGAACCCAGGAGGCAGAGGTTGCAATGAGCAGAGATGGTGCCATTGCACTCCAGTCTGGCCAACAAGAGCGAGACTCCATCTTAAACAAATAAAAAACAGAAAATGCACCACTCAACTTTACTGTTGTAGAGAACATAATAGACTGGCAGCCCCAGGTGCTGCCCCGCCTGGGTCCACTCAGCATTTGAGTTTGCACTGAGGCTTCCCAGCCAGCCAGTGACAGAGCACATGGGGTACTGGCCCATTCCTGGGAGACACAGGACACCTAGAACAGTCAGCTTTGGCTCAAGGACTCTCCATTAGCCTGGCTGAAACTTTATTAGATGTGCAGGGCCCTCTGAGGCTCTTCTTACCTAAACCTTCCTGCCCGTTTCTTTTCACAGGAGTAGACCTGCTTCGAGGTCTAAAGGACCCCCTGCCTCCTCTGCCTCTCTTTATCATCCATTGGTGTTTCTTCCACAAATCTTGTACGTCTAATCCCTTCTTTGCCCCTGCTTCTTGGAGAATTTGAAATGACACGTCTGTATTTTTTAGAACTTTATTTTTGTTTTTATTTTTTTGAGACAGGTCTCACTCTCACTCTGCCACCCAGGCTGGAGTGCAGTGGCTCAATCTTGGCTCACTGCAGCGGTGCAATCTCGGCTCACTGCAGCCTCCACCTCCTGGATTCAAGTGATTCTCCTGCCTCAGCTTCCCAAATAGCTGGGATTACAGGCATGCACCACCAAGCCTGGCTAATTTTTGTATTTTTAGTAGAGACGGGGTTTCACCATGTTGGTCAGGCTGGTCTCAAACACCTGACCTTAGGTCACCTGCCTTGGCCTCCCAAAGTGCTGGGATTACTTGGCCTCCCAAAGTGCTGGGATTACAGGCATGAGCCACCAGGCCTGGCTTTTTTTTTTTTTTTTTTTTTGAGACAGTGTCTCACTCTGTTGCCCAGGCTAGAGTGCAATGGTACAATCATGGCTCACTGCAGCGTCAACCTCCTGGACTCAAGCAATCCTCCCACCTTAATCTCCCAAGTAGCTGGGACTATGGCAGCATGCCACCACATCTGGCTAACTAAAAACAAAAAAAAAATTCTTTGTAAAAACAGGGTTTTGCTATGTTGCCCAGGCTGGTCTCGAATTCCTGGCCTCAAGTAATCCTCCCACCTTGGCCTCACAAAGCATTGGGATTGCAGGTATGAGCCACCGTGTGCGGCCTTAGAACTTTTTGCAGTAGAAGTTGGCATTGTCCAGGATGTGGAAATCCTACTAATTTATTCCGTTTCACCAGAGGAAATGTATAGTTACCACCAGCAGGCAAAAGAACTTTTCAGGAACCTGGTGGCCAAACCTGGGCATTGTACATATGGATGTTGAAATCAACAAACATCAGTTGAAAATGTGGGTTGCTCCTGACTAGAGCCTAATAATAAATTAGAATGTGCCCAATATAAAAACCGCTTTGAGTAGGAGAGGTTACGGCAAGGGCAAAAAATGTGAAGCAACTTGTACAAAAATGCTGCAAATAGATGAGAACAGAAGAAGCTTCCTGAAGTTCTCACAGTGGCAGCACTGATGTTGCTTCAGTCCATCACAAGCAGGCCAAAGCAAGGGGCTGAGAAAAAAGGCAAAATGCAAAGTGATGAGGTTGGACTTCATCAAAATTTCAAACTTTTGTGCATCAAAGGACACCATCGAGAATGTGAAAAGGCAGTCCCAGCTACTCAGGATGAGCAGGGAGGATCACTTGAGCCTAGGAGTTCAAGGTTACAGTGCCCCATGATCATGCCTGTGAATAGCCACCGCACTACCACCTGGGCAACAGAGCAAGACTCCTCTAAAATAAATAAATAAAACTTAAAAATAAGGAAAGAAAGGGCCGGGTGCGATGGCTCATACCTGTAATCCCAGCACTTTGGGAGGCCGAGGCGGGCAGATCACCTGAGGTCGGGAGTTCAGGACCAGCCTGACCGACATGGAGAAACCCCATCTCTACTAAAAACACAAAATTAGCCGGGCATGGTGGTGCATGCCTGTAATCCCAGCTACTTGGGAAGGCTGAGGCAGGCGAATCGCTTGAACCTGGGAAGCGGAGGTTGCAGTGAGCCAAGATCGCACCATTGTACTCCAGAGTAAAACTCTGTCTCAAAAATAAATAAATAAATAAATAATAAGGAAAGAAAGAAAACCGGCCAGGTGCAGTGGCTCACGCCTGTATCCCAGCATGTTGGGAGAGCGAGGCAAGCGGATCGCTTGAAGCCAGGAGTTTGAGATCAGCCTGGGCAACACAGCAAGACCCTGTCTCTATGAAAAATAAAATAAAATTAGCAGGGCATGGTGGCACATATCTGTAGTTCCAGCTACTTGAAAGGCTGAGGTGGGAGGCTGGCTTGAGTCCAGGAGTTTGAGGCTACAGTGGGCTACGATCTGATCACACCACTGCACTCCAGCCTGGGCAACAGATTGAGATCCCATCTTGAAAAAAAAACAAGAAAAACAAACAAAACAAAACAAAACAAAAAACAGAAAGTGAAAAAACAACCCACAGAATGGATGGAAGCAAATATTTGCAAATCATATATCTGATAAGGGTTTAGTATCCAGACTATATAAAGAACTCTTACAACTAAACAATAAAAGACAAATAACAATTTGTTATTAAAACTATTAAAAATGGGTAAAGGATTTGAATACATATTTCTCCAAAGAAGATACACAAATGGTAAGTAATCACATGAAAGACATTAAACAGGCCTGGCATGGTGGCTCACGCCTGTAATCCCAAGAGGCAGGTGGATCACCAGGAGATAGAGACCATCGTGGCTAACATGGCAAAACCCCGTGTCTACTAAAAATACAAAAAATTAGCCAGGTGTGGTGGCGGGTGCCTGTAGTCCCAGGTACTCGGGAGGCTGAGGCAGGAGAATTGTTTGAACCTGGGAGGCGCAGGTTACAGTGAGCCGAGATCACGCAGCTGCACTCTAGCCTGGGCAACAGAGCAAGACTCTGTCTGGAAAAAAAAAAAAAGACATTAAACATCATTAGTTATTAGGGAAATGCAAATCAAAACCACAGTGAGATACAACTTCATATCCACTAGGATGGCTGTAATCACAAAGAGAGAAAACAAGAAGTGTTCTTCAACATGTGGAGAAATTGGAACTCTCATATATTGCTGGTAGAAATACAAAATGGTGTGGCTGCTTTGAAAACACGTATGGCAATTCCTTAAGAGTTAAACATAGTTATCATATAATCCAACAATTCCACTCCTAGGTATATACTCAAGAGAATTGAAAACTTATGTCTGCACTAAACATATGAATATTCATAGTAGCATTATGCATAATAACCAATATTGAATGGATAAACAAATGTGGTCTATTCATACAACGGAATATTATTCAGCAATAAACAGGAATGACATACAACATGGATGGACCTTGAAAGCATTGTGTTAAGTGAAAGCAGCCAGACCCAAAAGCCTGGCCAACATGGTGAAATCCCATCTCTACTAAAAATACAAAATTTAGCCAGGCGTGGTGGCACACGTCTGTAATCCCAGCTACTCAAGAGGCTGAGGCAGGAGAATCACTTGAACCTGGCAGGTGGAGGTTGCAGTGAGCTGAGATCACGCCACTGCACTCCAGCCTGGGTGACAGAATGAGACTCTGGAAAAGAAAGAAAGAGAGAGAGAGAGAGAGAGCGATGGAGGGAGGGAGGGGAAGGAAGGAAAGAAAGGAAAGAAAGGAAGGAAAGGAAGAGAATGTAAGCAATATACATATATCACAGTAACTTTGGAAAATAAAGAAGATAAAAAGTTTCCGTTAAGGGAGGGACCATGTTTGTCTTATTCATTGTAACAACCCTTGTACCCAACAAAGTGCTTGGCACATAGGTGCTCAGGATACACATGTTGAGTGAATGAGTAAATCATAGATGCATCATTGTAATAGCACAAGTTTAAGCATATTGGTGACTTCTTCTCCCTCTCCAAACATTAGGTTTATTTATTGTTTTTAGTGCTTTTATTCTACTTATAAAAGTAATACATGTTGATTGTAGAAAACTTGGAAAATTAAAAAGCAAACCAAAAAGAAAATGAAAATCACCTGTGTTTCTACCACTTACAGAAAAATCCACTATTGATATTTTATGTTTTTCCTTCCAGGTTTTATTCTGGGCATATATATGTTTGGAGGTGTGTGTATGTTTGGGGAACCTTTGAATTTGGAAGTACCAAGGTGAGGAGAGACTTATGGAATTTAGAAGCTTTGGCAGGAACTAAGCACTGTGTTTCTTAGAATGAGCAGCTCTTTCTACTTGAAAGGCTGAGGCAGAGGATCGCTTGATCCCAGGGATTTGAAGCTGGCTGCAGTGAGCTATGATCACACCACTACTCTCCAGCCTAGGTGACACAGCAAGACTCTGTAAAAAATGAAGAAGAAGAAAGAAGAAGAAGAAGAAGAAGAAGAAGAAGAGGAAGAGGAAGAGGAAGAAGAAGAAGAAGAAGAAGAAGAAGAAGAAGAAGAAGAAGAAGAAGAAGAAGAAGAAGAAGAAGAACAGGCCATGTGAGGTTGCCACACCTGTAATCCTAGCACATTGGGAGGCTGAGGTGGGAAGATCACTTGAGGTCAGGAGTTCGAGACCAGTCTGGCCAACATGGTGAAACCCTGTCTCTAATAAAAATACAAAAATTAGTCAGGTATGGTAATGGGTGCCTGTAGTCCCAGCTACGTGGGAGGCTGAGGCAGCAGAATCACTTGAACCTGGGTGGCAGAGGTTGCAGTGAACCAAGATCATGCCACTGTACTCCAGCCTGGGTGACAGAGTAAGACTCTATCTCAAAAACAACAACAACAAACAAACAAAAATAGTTCCTTAAGGTGAGAGACAAATTTATCAAATAAAATGTAAAAGCCATGAGTTTAGTAACAGCAATTTTTCTGTCATTTTTTCCCTCAGTGAACATTGGCACTTATTTTAGTGGAATTAAAAGTAGCAGGCTGAGTGCAGTGTCTCACACCTGTAATCTCAACACTCTGGGAAGCCAAGGCAGGAGAATCTCTTGAGGCCGAGAGTTTGAGACCATCCTGGACAACATAGTGAGACCCCATTTCTATTAAAAAATATATATATATTAGCCGAGAATGGTGCCATGCACCTGTAGTCTCAGCTACTCTGGAAGCTGTGGCAGGAAAATCGCTTGAACCCAGCAGTTTGAGGTTACAGTGAGCTATGGCTGTGCCACTGCACTCCAGCCTGGTGACACAGCATGAGCCTATCTCTAAAAACAAAACAAAACAAAACAAAATAAAATAAAAATGATAAAAATTAGCCCAGCATGATGGCACACATCTGTAGTTCCAGAGGCTGGAATTACCAGCTATTTCGGAAGCTGATGTGGGAGAGTCATGTGAGCCCAGGAATTCGAGGCTGCAATGAGCCATGATTGAGAGACTGCACTCTAGCCTGGTCGACAGAGTGAGGCTGTCTCTGTTTTTTGTTTTTTGAGACAGAGTCTCGCTCTGTTGCCCAGGCTGGAGTGCAGTGGTACCATCTCAGCTCACTGCAAGGTCCGCCTCCCGGGTTCATGCCATTCTCCTGCCTCAGCCTGCGAAGTAGCTGGGACTACAGGCGCCCACCACCACACCTGGCTAATTTTTTGTATTTTTAGTAGAAATGGGGTTTCACTGTGTTAGCCAGGATGGTCTCCATCTCCTGACCTCATGATCCACCTGCCTCGGCCTCCCAAAGTACTGGGATTACAGGTGTGAGCCACTGCGCCTGGCCAGCTCTCTCTGTTAAAAAAGAAAGTAGGCCAGGCGCAGTGGCTCACACCTGTAATCCCAGCACTTTAGGAGGCCGAAGCAGGTGGATCAGTTGAGGTCAGGAGTTCGAGACCAGCCTGACCAACATGGTGAAACCCCGTCCCCACTAAAAATAAATTAGCAAGGCATGGTGGCACATGCCTGTAATACCAGCTACTCAGGAGGCTGAGGCAGGAGAAGCACTTGAACCTGGGAGGTGGAGGTCACAGTGAGCTGAGATCATGCCACAGCACTCCAGCCTGGGCAACAGAGTGAGACTCCATCTCAAAAAAAAAAAAAAAAAAAAAGAAAAAAAGAAAAAAAAGTAGCTTTAACATACTGTTACAGCTTACTTAATCCTGGGGTCATCTTTTGGGGCAATCTTAGCCATCCTAGCCTTGGGCCTGAAAGGAAGCCAGCATGACTTTGGAGCATAGTCACTGAATGAATGTCCTTGGGTTGGGAAGCTGAAGCTCTGGGTCTGATATGTGCACTGCTGCTAACTCGCTGTATGACCTCACATGAGGCTCTTTTCACATGTACCTCTCACAGCTCTATAAGGAACGACCCAGGCCAGAAACCTGCCAAATCCTGTCCAGTACTATGATCTACAAAACGGATCTGCCTCAGGAAAGCCAGGGAAGGTGGGGCTGGATGGAGTGTGTTCCAGCTGGAACATCTGCTCTGGGCCAGGCACAGTGGGGAAAGCCAAGGTGGATTCACTATGGCCCTGATCTCATGATTGGGGTGAGTCACATTTTTATGATTAATAAACAATAGCACGTTCAAGTCCCCACTAATTCAAATATTTACTAGGGGTCTATTCTGTGCCAGGCAAAGGCATATGGATACATAAGATAAATAAGACACAGTCCTTACCCTCAAGGAGTTCGGTGTGGACAGGGATTGATAAAACTGTGAAGTCAAGGAGACCTTTGTGAAATAGGGTGTAGAAAGTAAAAGTTCCTCTTCAAAGTTTCCTTTCTTGTTAAAGAATAAATCACAACTGTTAAAAATAATAGTTTCTTTTAAAGATTAACTTTATGCTAGACATGCTCACAGGCAGGTAGTACATTCTATGTAGTACTTTAACCAAGGTATCTGTGCTGGACGTGCTCACAGGCATGTCCCAGCTCGCAGCCTATACCCATTCCTTATTTAGGAATATTATTACTTTTTAAAAATCCTTTCATAAGCAGCTTCCTCTTTTCCTTTGTCTTTCCATTGCTTTTACCTATTTAGAAAAGTTTAATGTTATTAGCCAATCAGGTTTTAGTTTAAATTTTGAGGTCTGGCTCCAGCCAATGGAGACGGGACACAGTAGCAGGGACGAACTGTGTAAGGGATAAAAATTGCTTCCCTCCTTTATTCAGGTGTGCTCTTGCCATTGTTCCATCTGCAGTGAGCACCCTTTCTGCAGAAAGTAAAAATTGCCTTGCTGAGAGAATTAAATTTATGTTTGAGTGCTATTTCTTTACAGCATCAGGGAACAAGCATTCTGTTTCTAAATAAACATTTCACATATAACATAGGGGAAGTGTAGCTTGGATGGGGGTTGGCTATATCCAGAAGGGCATTTCTGGTAAAGAAAACATCTTGCATAAAGGCAGGCAGCCTGTGGCAGACACTGCTGCCTAGAGAACTCTTTATTTTTTTTGAGACGGAGTTTCACTCTTGTTGCCCAGGCTGGAGTGCAATGGCGTGATGTCAGCTCACTGCAACCTCCACCTCCCAGGTTCAAGCAATTCTCCTGCCTCAGCCTCCCAAGTAGCTGGGATTACAGGCATGTATCACCATGCCTGGCTAATTTATTTTTGGTAGAGACAGGGTTTCTTCATGTTGTTCAGTTTGGTCTCGAACTCCTGACCTCAGGTGATCCACCCGCCTCAGCCTCCCAAAGTGCTGGGATTACAGGCATGAGCCACCGCACCCGGCCTTTTTTTTTTTTTCTTTTTGAGAGGGAGTTTCACTCTGCCACCCAGGCTGGAGTGCAATGGTGCGACCTGGACTCACTGCAACCTCTGTCTCCCAGGTTCAAGCGATTCTCCTGCCTCAGCCTCCAGAGGAGCTGGGATCACAGCAACTGCTGCCACGCCTGGCTAATTTTTGTACTTTTGGTAGACATGGGGTTTTGCCATGTTGGTCAGGCTGGTCTCAAACTCCTGACCTCAATTGATCCACCTGCATCGGCCTCCCAAGGTCGTGGGATTACAGGCGTGAGCCACCACGCCCGGCCTGCTTAGAGACCTCTTAATGTCTATTCTTTCTTACTAAATTAGAATAACAGAATTTCAATTTACTTCATTAGGACAGCTGTGTACCTAGCTAGAAAAACGGTATTTCCCATGGCTCTTTTGCAGCCATAGTTGACCACGTGACTGAGATCTTACCAATGAGGTGTCAACAGAAGGTGCTAGGAGAAGCTTTTGAATAAAATCATTTATTTATTTATTTATTTATTTATTTATTATTTTTAGAGATAGAGTCTTGCTCTGTCACCCAGGCTGGAGTGCAGTAGCACTATCATAGCTCACTACATCCTTAAACTCCTGGGCCCAGGTGATACTCTGGTCTCGGCCTGCCATGCGTCACCACACTCAGCTAATTTTTAAATTTTTTTTGTAGAGACAAGAACTTGCTGTGTTGCCCAGGCTGGTCTTGAACTTCTGGCCTCAAGAAGATCCTCCCACCTCGACCTCTCAAAGTGTTGGTATTACAGACGTGAGCCACTGGGCCCCACTGTGTTCTGTTCTTATTGCCCATGACAATTAAAGTTAGCTCTATCTCATCTCCATGACCATCACAAACACATGCCATTAATTTTGCTCACCCAAATCTCTATGCTCTGACTTCTGGGCACCTAGTACTGGCTAATGAGCTGTGAGCTGGGCCAGAGCATAGAATAGCTGGTGCGAGACCTTTTGAGAGTTCTATCTCCCTCTGTCATGGCAACCAGCCATATTCAAAATGGCAACCAGCAATATTCAAAATGAGGGCTACTGCCAGGCATGCTGGCTCATGCCTGTAATCCCAGCGACTCAGGAGGCCAAGGGTGGGAGGATTGCTTGAGGCCAGGAGTTTGAGACCAGCCTGGGTAACATAGTGAGACTCTGTATCCAAAAAAAAGAAAAAAAAAAAAGTCTACTTTGGTGTCATCCTGGCTTTTGGAGGGAGGTGATGTGAAACTGCCAGGTGCCATGTAATGGATATATAGTGTGAGGTAGCAATACACGTTTTTTTTTTTTTTTTTTGGAGACAGAGTCTCTGTTGCCCAGGCTGGAGTGTGGTGGTGCGATCTTGGCTCACTGCAAACTCTGTCCTCTGGGTTCAAGTGATTCTTCTTCTGCCTCAGCCTCCAGAGTAGCTGGGACTTTAGGTGCGCACCACCACGCCTGGCTAATTTTTGTATTTTTGGTAGAGATGGGGTTTTGCCATGTTGACCAGGCTGGTCTCAAATTCCTGTAAGCCACTGCGCCTTGCAGCAGTACACGTTTTATAAATTGATACATAATATTTCACATATTGATGGGGACATATATTTCACATATTGATGGGGACATGTGAGTATCTGTTACAGGCACAGAATGTGTAATGATCAAGTCAGGGTATTTGGGGTATCCATCACCTTGAGGACTTACCAGTTCTTTCTTTTCTTTCTTTTCCTTCTTCCTTTCCTTTCCTTCCTTCTTCCTTCCTTCCTCCCTCCTTCCCTTCCCTTCCTTCCCCTCCCCCCTCCCCTCCCGTCGTCTCCTCCCCTCCCCTCCCCTCCTCCCCTCCCCTCCCCTCCCCTCTCTTCCCTTCCCTTCCCTTCGACGGAGTCTTGCTGTGTCACCCAGGCTGGAGGGGCTGGAGTGCAGCGGCTCCATCTCTGCTCACTGCAACCTCGGCCTCCTGGGTTCAAGCGATTCTCCTGCCTCAGCCTCCCGAGTAGCTGGGATTACAGGTGCCTGCCACCATGCCCAGCTAATTTTTGTATTTTTAGCAGAGATAGGGTTTCACCATGTTGGCCAGGCTGGTCTTGAACTCCTGACCTCAGGTGATCCACCTACCTTGGCCTCCCAAAGTGCTGGGATTACAGGTGTGAGCCACCATGCCCAGCCCGAGGACTTACCATTTCTAAGTGTTGGGAACATTTCAAGTCCTCTCTTCTAGCTGCTTTGAAATACACAGTCCATCGTTGCTAAGTATAGTCACTTTACTCTGCCATCAAACATTAGAACTTTTTCTATCTAACTGTATGTTTGATAACCCACCTCTCTTCATCACCCCCCTCCCGTCCATACACCCATCCCAGCCTCCAGTACATGGCATTCTATTCTTTGACTCTTTGAGATCAGCTTTTTAGCTCCCACACGAGTGAGGACATCCAATATTCGTCTTTTTGTGCCTGACTTATTTCAATTATACCATAATGACCTCCAGTTCCATCCATGTTAGTGTAAATAACATGATTTCATTCTTTTTCTTTTTGTTTGATACAGGGTCTCCCTTTGTTGCCCAGGCTGGAATGCAGTGGCGTGATCATGGCACACTGCAGCCTTCAATTCCTGAACTCAAGCGATCTTTCTGCCTCAGCCTCCCGAGTAGCTAAAACTACTGGTGCACAGCACCACACTTGGCTAATTTTCAAAGACTTTTGGTAGAGATGGAGTCTCCTATGTTGCCCAGGCTGGGGCTGTTACCTGCAGCATAATCTAGCCTATCCTGTCTACTAAAGGCACTGAATTTGAGAGACAGTACTGTAATATAATGAGGCCATCTAGATGTTCCAGAATATGTTTACATGGTGTTATTTACATTATTAAAACAAAAGTTAAAATTATCATAACCAGAATGATATTGTGGTTGTATAGGAAAATGTCCTTATTCTTAGGAGATGTATTTTGAGTGCTTAGGAGTTTTTTGGTTTGTTTGTTTGTTTGTTTTTGAGACAGAGTCTCGCCCTGTCGCCCAGGCTGGAGTATGGTGGCGTGATCTCGGCTCACTGCAACTTCTGCCTCCTGAGTTCAAGTGATTCTTGTGCCTCAGCCACCCGTAGCTGAGACTACAGGAGTGCACCACCGTGACTAATATTTGTATTTTTAGTAGAGACAGAGATTCGCCATGTTGTGCAGGCTGGTCTCGAACTCCTGGCCTCAAGTGATCCTCCTGCCTCAGCCTCCCAAAGTGCTGGGATTATAGACTTGAGCCACCGCTCCCAGCCTGAGTGCTTAGGAGTTTGTTGTTGTTGCTGTTGTTGTTGTTGTTGCTTTAGTCTTCATATCTGCAACTTACTTTCAAATGGTTCAGGAAAAGTGAAACAGAAAGGGTAGAAGTTAATAATTTGCAATGCCAATGAAAGCTATACATACTGTTCTTTCCACTTTTCTGTAGGTTTGAAATTTTAGAAAAGAAAACAAAGATTATCATAAAGAACTCAGGGGTCCAGGCACGGTGGTTCATGCCTGTAATCCCAGCATTTTGGGAGGCCCAGGTGGGTGGATCACTTGAGGTCAGGTGTTCAAGATCAGTGTAGCCAAAATGGTGAAACCCCGTCTTTACTAAAAATACAAAAAAAATTAGCCGGGCATGGTGGAATGCGCCTGTAATCCCAGCTACTTGAGAGGTTGAGGCGGGAGAATTGCTTGAATGCTGGAGGTGGAGGTTTCAGTGAGCCGAGATCGTGCCACTGCACTCCAGTTTGGGTGACAGAGCAAGACTCTGCCTCAAAAAACAAACAAACGGAAAAAAGAACTCAAGGAGCGCCAAGAATATGTCATTAGTTCCGGGTATGAGAAACCACTATGGTCAGTAAGGGACACTGAAGTATTTTCAGTACAGAAGAAACAGGACCAGATTTGATTTTTTTTTTTTTTTTTGAGACGGAGTCTCGCTCTGTTGCCCAGGCTGGAGTGCAATGGTGCGATCTCGGCTCACCTCAACCTCCACCTCCCAGGTTCAAGCAATTCTCCTGCCTCAGCCTCCTGGGTAGCTGGGATTACAGGCACCCACCACCATGCATGGCTAATTTTTATATTCTTAGTAGAGACAGGGCTTCACTATTTGGCCAGGCTGGTCTCGAACTCCTGACCTCAAGTGATCCACCTGCCTCAGCCTCCCAAAGTGCTGGGATTACAGGTGTGAGCCACCACGCCCAGCCCAGGACCAGATTTTTTATCTGAAAGATCAGGCTAGGAGCAAGAGAACAACCTGGACCAGTCTGTGGCAGTGAGCTAGGCAAGAGTGGCATGGGGACAGGAGGGGGCAATGGATCTGGAACACATTTGGGAAGTAGAGTGGACAGGGCTTCCTGAGAGCTTATGAGTGGTAGAACTGAGGGTCAATTTCCTTTCTTCAAAGTCTAGCCCTGTGCTACCTAATACAGTGGCCACTGGGCCCACCGGGCTATTTAAATTTAATTAATAACAGGCTGAGTGGTGTGATTCACACCTGTAATCCCAGCACTTTGGGAGGCTGAGGCGGAAGGATCACTTGAGGTCAGGAGTTCAAGACCAGTCTGACCAATGCTGTGAAACTCTGTCTCTACTAAAAATACAAAAATTAGGTGAGCATGGTGGCGGGTGCCTGTAATCCCAGCTTCTCGGGAAGGTGAGGCAGGAGAATCGATTGAATCGAGGAGACGGAGGTTGCAGTGAGCCGAGATGGTGCCACTGCACTCCAGCCTGGGCAACAGAGTGAGTAAGACTCCATCTCAAAAAATAAAATAAAAATAAATAAATTAATTAATTAACAACAGGCCAAGTGTTGTGATTCACACCTATAATCCCAGCACTTTGGAAGAGGCTGAGGCAAGAGAATTGCTTAAGGCCAGGAGTTCAAGATCAGCCTGGGCAATATAGTGAGACCCCATCTATACAAAAAAATTGTTTAAAAATTAGTCAGGCATGGTGGTGCACAGGAGTCTCAGTTAGTCCCAGCCACTCAGGAGGCTGAGGTGGCAGGATTGCTTGAGCCCAGGAGTTCAAGGCTGCAGTAGCTATGATCATGCCACTGCACTCCAGCCTGGGTGGCAGAATGAGACCCTGTCTCAAAAATAAGTAAATGAATGAGTGAATGAAGAAGTAAATAAATACTTTAATTAATAACAATTAACATAAAATTAAGCCGGGTACGGTGGCTCAAGCCTGTAATCCCAGCACTTTGGGAGGCCGAGGCAGGCGGATCACGAGGTCAGGAGATCGAGACCATCCTGGCTAACACGGTGAAACCCCGTCTCTATTAAAATAAATGAAAAAAATTTAGCCGGGCATGGTGGCGGGCGCCTGTAGTCCCAGCTACTCGGGAGGCTGAGGCAGGAGAATGGCATGAACCTGGGAGGCAGAGCTTGCAGTGAGCCGAGATTGCGCCACTGCACTCCAGCCTGGGGGATAGAGCGAGACTCCGTCTCAAACAACAACAACAACAACAACAACAACAACAACAAACAAACAAAAAAACCCATAAAATTAAAAATTCAATTCCACAGCCCCATGAGCCACCTTTCAAGCACTCAACAGCCATAGCTGGGTACTGGCCATAGCATAGGGCAGTGCAACTACAGTCATGTACCATGTAATGACATTTCAGTAGATGATAGACGGCATAGACAAAAGTCTTCCCATAACATTATAATACTGTATTTTTACTGTATCTTCTCTATGTTTAGATGTGTTTAGATACACAAATACTTGCCATTGCATTA
Source organism: Homo sapiens (assembly GCF_000001405.40). NCBI lineage: Eukaryota > Metazoa > Chordata > Mammalia > Primates > Hominidae > Homo > Homo sapiens. Next base: position 28,853,447 of record NC_000022.11, read on the forward strand.
CAATTGCCTACAGTATTCAGTGCAACAACATGCTTTACAGTTTTGTAGCCTAGGAGCAATAGGCTACACCATATAGTCTAGGTGTAGAGTAGGCTACACCAGCTAGGTTTGTGCAAATGCCCTCCAGGCTCACATGGTGAAATCGCCTAATGATGCATTTCTCAGAAGGCGTTCCTCATCAAGTGATGCACAAGTGTGGAACATTTCCATCATTGTGGAAGTTCCATTGGATCACACTGGTCTATACTTTTCCCATTTCATTATACTGTTTCCCTTGCCCACTCCCTAATGATCGCACACGGAGCCCTGTTCTCTAGAAGCTCACAGACAACGAGGGAACCGAAGGTCATTAATACAATGTAGAACTGTGTTGAGATACATTAGAAAGATGTGGAGAGCTTTCTGTGGGAGTTCAGAGGAGGAAACAAGTATTTCTGGGAGAAAGTAGCTTTAGTGGAAACTTGCAGATGACAGGAAAGAGAAGAGGGGTGTCGGGGGAGGCATGAGAACCTGCTGAAACAGGATCATTCCTTGCTTTCCCCAGAAGAGAGGTTGTAAGTTTGTTTATTTATTTTTATTTTTATTTATTTATTTTTGAGACAGAGTCTTGCTCTGTCACCCAGGCTGAAGTGCAGTGGCATGATCTCAGTTCACTGCAATCTCTGTCTCCTGGGTTCAAGCAATTCTCCTGTCTCAGTTTCCCGAGTAGCTGGGACTACAGGCGCATGCCACCACGCCCGGCTAATTTATGTATTTTTAGTAGAGACGGGGTTTTGCCATGTTGGCCAGGCTGGTCTCGAACTCCTAACCTCAGGTGATCCACCTGCCTTGGTCCCCCAAAACTCTTGGATTACAGGCGTGAGCCACTGCGCCTGGTGGATTTGTTTATTTATTTGGTTTTAAAAACAGTGTCTTGCTTTGTCACCCAGGCTGGAGTGTAATGGTGCGATCACGGGTTACTGTAGCCTCAAATTCCTGGTCTCAAGTGACCCTCCCACCCCAACCTACGAAGTAGCTGAGACTACAGACACACACCACCACATGTGGCTAATTATTTTATTTTTCGTAGATATGGGGATCTCACTATCTTGCCCAGGCTGGTCTTGAACTCCGGGGCACCTTCTTGCTGTGTGCTCACATGACCTCTTCTCCATATGCTTGTGGGAAAGAGAGAGACCGCTCTCTGGTATTGCTTCTTATAAGGGCACTAATACTTATAAGGGATCAGGATCCCACCCTTAACACCTTATTTTACCTTAATGACTTCTTTTTTTCTTTTCTTTTTTTTTTTTGAGATGGAGTCTTGCCCTGTTGCCAGGCTGGAGTGCAGTGGCGTGATCTTGGCTCACTGCAACCTCCACCTCCTGGGTTCAAGAGATTCTCTTGCCTCAGCCTCCTGAGTGGCTGGGATTACAGGTCTGTGCCACCATGCCTGGCTAATTTTTTGTATTTTTAGTAGAGATGGGGTTTCACCATGTTAGCCAGGATGGTCTCGATCTCCTGACCTTGTGATCCGCCGTCTCCCAAAGTGCTGGGATTACAGGCATGAGCCACCGCTCCCGGCCACCTTAATTACTTCTTTATAGGCCCTATCTCCACATCCAGTCATGTTGGGGGTTGGGGCTTCAACATATGAATCTTGGGGGTGGGAGGAACACAGATATTCATTTCATAACACCAACATACCAAGTATCTGGTTATTAACATGTTTCTCAAACATCTCCCCCAGTTAGAGTCTGGTCTCCCTAAGAGAAGGGACTCCATTTTGGCCACTATGGCATCTCCTGCACCAATAATGGTGCCTAACACATAGGAGATGTTCCATGAGTATTTGTTGAGTGAATGAAAAAAAGAGGTGGGGTAGTGGTTGTGTCAGCCAAGTGCTACTAAAGCCCAACATCTGGAAAATGGGACTAGCACAATAGATGTTAAAGACCATTATCCTTCTCATTAATATTTATTAATCCTAAGGGTATTTGGCATATCAACTAAAGTTTCTGCCTTAAATAGTTTATATTCTAACGGAGGAAAGACTTAAGTGCATTTTGCTCTGTCGTATAGCATGTACTATGTTGGATCATCCCTCTTTAAAGGAAATTGTTTCTTAGTTTATCACTCTGTGATAAGCGTCTTGAATATAGGAGTCAAAGTTCAGAACTTGGTTCTATTTCTGACTTCACCACTAATTTGCCATAGGCTCTGGTGAATCCCTTTCCCTCTACCGACCTTGCCTTCCTCTACTGTGAAATAAAGTGTTGTGATTTGAATTAAGATCTTTGAGATCAACTCTTTGCAGCTGGAAAATGTTACGACTTGCCTAGTGTGTTGTTCCTGTTTCTAGCACTAGGGGGCAATACAAGCAGCACCTTGCAACACATTCTGCTGTTAAAATTCCTGCAGTCAGGTTAGAGTTGATGCAGAAAGATGATTGCTCTCCGCTTTGGTTCTCCCACCTCTTCTGAAACTGTAAGCTCACAAATTTGAGCCTTCTCCCAGACTAGTGAGAGACAGAAACTTTCATCAAAGGGAACAGGACTGGCTGGCCCATGAAATCTTGGCTCCATCACTTTTGAGTCTGTTGTGGACTATGTATGTGGTTAGGGAGATGGCATGTGGCTAATACATTGTCTGTGAGTGACAAATGGACACCCCAAAGGAGGAAAACTGAGGTGTAGACTTAGATTTTGTTCAGAAGAGAAAAACAATTTAGTAACACCATCTTGCTATGATGTTGGACTGAGATCAGTATGTGGTTGGAAGGTCCATGGAGGCTGTGCATAGACAGCAGGATCCATGGCCATGAACCCTAGGAGACCTGCATTGAAGTCCCAGCTTGTCCAATAAAGTGCTGTGTGACCCTGGGCAAGTTACTTCCCATATGAGAATCAACCTTCTACCTACACAAGTAGGAGGGACCTATACATAGCCAACACATACCCCGTATACATTCCTACCTTGAAATAAGTTACATTCTAAAAGAGGAAAGACTTATGTGCATTTTGTTGTGTGTTTTATAGCATGTACTATGTTGGATCATTACTTCTTTTAAGGAAATTTTTTTTTTTTTGAGATGGAGTCTCGCTAATTCACGCCATTCTCTTGCCTTAGCCTCCCGAGTAGCTGGGACTACAGGCGCCCACCACCAAGCCCAGCTAATTTTTTGTATTTTTTTAGTAGAAACAGGGTTTCACTGTGTTAGCCAAGATGGTCTCGATCTCCTGGCCTCGTGATCCACCCGCCTCCGCCTCCCAAAGTGCTGGGATTACAGGCGTGAGTCACCACGCCCGGCCGGAAATTGTTTCTTAAATTGTCACTTTGTGTTAAGTGTCTTCAACATGGGAGTCAAGAGACCAGGACAGGTATCTCTTACCAAACGTAGGAGCCTTTCCTACCAAGTCCAGACATAGAAACAGCCTCGGAGTCCTTTTTAACATTACAGCTGGTGAGAGTTGGCCCTTGAGGGGAAACCTTTTTGCCATCTCTATTAACCTTAGATTATTTCTTCTTCTCTTCTCCTTCTTATTCTTCTTTTTTTTTTTTTTTTTAGAGATGGGCTCTCACTATGTTGCCCAGGCTGGTCTCAAACTCCTGGCCTCAAGTGATCCACCCACCTCAGACTCCCAAAGTGCTGGGATTACAAGCGTGAGCCACTGAGCCCAGGCTGACCTTAGATTATTTCTAAAAATCCTTTCAACACCAGCATTGTATGGTAATGGGGCTTTAATAGCAGAGACCTCTCTGTTATTGATCAACTTTGGCTGGTTCTGGATGGTTTGGGGTCAATATTTCAATGACTTTGTACATTGGGTAGAGACAGACAAGTTTATTGCTTTACTTGATTATAATGCTTATCAAGGGTGGAAGAACATGACACTCTAGCCCACTGGTTTAGCAAAAAGGAGTTACTTTTGTGGCGAGGTTGGTAGTCATAGTTCCAAAGTAATTAAGAGGTAGGAGATCACATACTCAGCTTTGCCCTTGGCCTTTAGAATGTCGCTTGGAATTTTTCAGATCTAATACAGAACGTGGCTATTTAAATTTAGGAACAGGACCAGGCGTGGTGACTCACACCTCTAATCCTAGCACTTTGGGAGATGGAGGTGGGCAGATTGCTTGAGCTCAGGCATTCAAGACCAGTCTGGCCAACATGGCAAAATCCTGTCTCTACTAAAAATACAAAAATTAGCCGGGCATGGTGGCGTGCACCTGTAATCCCAGCTACTCAGGTGGCTGAGTCAGGAGAATCGCTTCAACCCGGGAGGTGGATGCTGCAGTGAGTGGAGATTGCACCACTGCACTCCAGCCTGGGCAACAGGGTGAGACCCTGTCTCAAAAAATTAATTAATTAATTAAGGTTCTTATTTAATAAGAACCTTATCAGGTTCAAGTATCAGGTTCTTCTAGGTAAATTTGAAATTAACTCAGATTTCTTTACTGGAGGATATCACCATCATATGATATCATTACCACTCAGTAAAAAATGGGTGCAAGTAAACATGTCCTAATTAATGTCATGTTATTACTCAACTAGAAGTCAGAAGACCTAGGTTCTAATCTGGTCTCACCCTTTACACGTGAAGTGACTAAACCTCTCAGAGATTCAGTTTCCCTGTCTTTAAAATGGAAATAATTATACCTGCCCTATCTATCTCAGGTTGTGAGGGTCAAATGAGATTATATAATACACTATACAACTCCAAAGAAAAATGATACATATTTATTTTTTAACAGATGGGGTGTCACTATATTGCCCAGGCTGGAATGTAGTGGCTATTCACTGGCATGATCATAGTGCGCCGTACCCTCTAACTGCTTTCTGCTGTTTTCTGATATGAGCTTGAATCAGTGTGGTCAATTGGAGAGGGGCCTTCAGGTTGGGCTGTGGGTGAGTCACTGAGTGGAAATAAATCCTGATGGTGGCAAATACGGAGTGTTGGTTTAATTGTCCAAAAAAACAAAGTGTATGCTCCTGACCCAGAAACTTTATTTTAAAAGTTAATTTTTTATAAATGAAATATTTATTAGGCAATTATTTATGACAATTACTTTAGATTCAGCAGCATGCCACTTTGCCATAGTATTTTTTTCTTCTTTGAGACAGGGTCTCACTATGTTGCCCAGGCTGGTCTCAAACTCCTGGGCTCAAGTGATCCTTCCACCTCAGCCTCCCAAAGTGCTGGGATTAAAGATATGAGCCACCGCGCCTGCCATGCCATAGTGTTTTATTTGCTTTTTAATACAATCATCCTGGCTTTTTAATTAGAATTTACATGGTATATTTCTTTCCATCTTTTCATTGATTTTTTTGTATGATTTTTTTTTTTTTTTTTTTTTTTTTGAGACAGAGTCTTGCTCTGTCGCCCAGGCTGGAGTGCAGTGGCATGATTTCAGCTCACTGCAACCTCTGCCTCCCAGGTTTAAGCAATTCTTCTGCCTCAGCCTGCCAAGTAGCTGGGATTACAGGAACATGCCCCCATGCCCAGCTAATTTTTGTATTTTTAGTAGAGACAGGGTTTCTCCATGTTGACCGGACTGGTCTTGAACTCCTGAACTCAGGTGATCTGCCCACCTCAGTCTCCCAAAGTGCTGGGATTACAGGTGTGAGCCACAGCGCCCGGCCTGTGATTATTTTTTACTGTGATAAAACGTACATAACATAAAATTTGCCATTTTAACCATTTTAAAGTAGCATTAAACACATTCACAATGTTACACAACCATCATCACTGTCAATCTCCAGAAATTTTTTATCTTCCCAAACAGAAACTCTGTACCCATTCAACAATAACCCCCCATTTCTCCTTCACGCAGCCCCTAGTAACCACTATTCTACTCTCTGTCTCTGTGACTATGCCTATTTTAGGTACCAAATACAAGTGGGATCACATAATATTTGTCCTTCTGTGTCTGGCTTATTTCACTTAGCATGATGTTTTCCAGGTTCTTGCATGTTGTAGCATGAATCAGAATTCATTCCTTTTTAAGGTTGAATTATATTCCGTTGAATGTCTACATCACATTGTGTATTCATTCATCTGTTCATGAACAGTTGGGTTGTTTCCACGTTTGGCTATTTTAAATAATGCTGCTATGAACATTGCATACAAGTCCCTGCTTTCAATTCTTTTGGGCGTATACCTAGGAGGTGAATCGATGGACCATATGGTAATTTTTTTTTTTTTTTTTTTTGAGACAGACTCTCGCTCTGTTGCCCAGGCTGAAGTGCAGTGGCATGATCTCGGCTCACTGCAAGCTCCGCCTCCCAGGTTCATGCCATTCTCCTGCCTCAGCCTCCTGAGTAGCTGGGACTACAGGCACCTGCCACCATGCCCATCTAATTTTTTGTATTTTTAGTAGAGATGGGGTTTCACCATTTTAGCCAGGATGTTCTCAATCTCCTGACTTTGTGATCGTCCCAAAGTGCTGGGATTATAGGTGTGAGCCACCACACCCAGCCCTCATATGGTAATTTTATGATTAACTTTTTGAGGAACTGCCTAACTTTTCCATAACAGCTCACCACTTTACATTCCTACCAGCAATAAACAAGGGTTTCCATTTCTCTGCATTCTCACCAACACTTTTTTTTTTTTTTTTTTTGAGACACAGTTTCACTCTGTCACCCAGGCTGGAGTGCAGTGGTGTGATCTCAGCTCACTGCAACCTCTGCCTCCCAGGTTCAAGCATTTCTCATGCCTCAGCCTCCCAAGTATCTGGGATTTACAGGTGCGCGCCACCACACCCGGCTAATTTTTGTATTTTTGTATTTTTTTTTTTTTGAGACAGAGTCTCCCTCTGTCTCCCAGGCTGGAGTGCAGTGGTGTGATCTCAGCTCACTACAAGCTCCATCTCCCAGGTTCATGCCATTCTCCTGCCTCAGCCTTCCAAGTAGCTGGGACTATGGGCGCCCGCCACCACGGCCGGCTAATTTTTTGTATTTTTAGTAGAGACGGGGTTTCACTGTGTTAGCCAGGATGGTCTTGAACTCCTGACCTCGTGATCTGCCCATCTTGGCCTCCCAAAGTGCTGGGATTACAGGAGGGAGCCACCGTGCCCAGTCAATTTTTGTATTTTTAGTAGAGACGGGGTTTCACCATGTTGGCCAGGTTGGTCTCCAACTCCTGACCTCAAGTGATCTGCCCACCTCAGCCTCCCAGAGTGCTGGGATTACAGGTATGAGCCACCACACCCAGCAGCCCCCCCTTATTTTTTTGAGACAGAGTCTCGCACCGTCCCCCGGGCTGGAGGGCAGTGGCCCGATCTCGGCTCACTGCAATCTCTGCCTCCCAGGTTCAAGTGATTCTCCTGCCTCAGCCTCCCAAGCAGCTGGGATTACAGGTGCCCACCACCACGCTCAGCTAATTTTTTTTTTGTATTTTTAGTAGAGACACGGTTTCATTATGTTGGCCAAGCTGGTCTCAAACTCCTGACCTCATGATCTGCCTGCCTCAGCCTCCCAAAGTGCTGGGATTACAGACGTGAGCCACTGTGCCTGGCCTTTTTTTTTTTTTAAATCATGACCATCCTAGTGGATGTGAAATAATATCTCATTGTGCATTTCCCTGAAGGCTAATAATGCAAAGAATCATTTAATGTACTTGTTGGCCATTGGTACAACTATTTTTTTGGTATC